>NC_000011.10:49453939-49756969 GCF_000001405.40 Homo sapiens
TCATGCTGCTTCTGTCTGCCTAAATATCCTCCTGCTATATTAAGTATATTCCACATTGCCCCCCAGGATCTCCTAATCTGCAGGGAAGAGGTTGACACACTTCCATCTGCTTTGCAGAAAACTGTGTGCCTTTGGGCACATCACCTTCTCTGGGCCCCAATTTCCTTATTTGTAAAATAAACAATTTGAATTATGATCTTGAAATTCTCTTTAAGATTTCAGCAATAATGACAAGTCATGTTTCTTTATCCCCCTTCCTTTAAGCTTTTTAAGTTATCAATATTTTAATTTAAGCAATTTAACTTTCCTAGTACTAGAATATATTAATCCTACAAAAAGCAGCTACATTGTTGTAGGAACATTCTTTAGGTTGTTAGTTACAGTACATGATGTCTTCATCACTTGATAGAAAGCAACTCAACTCTCTTAGATTAATATTTCACTCCCCAACAAAATGCTATTGATAACCCAGTCGATGCCTGCCTGCCTCAGAGTTATCAATTATACAACAACTTAGTCTAATAAGTATGTAATGAATGTCTCCTATGTGCTAGGTTCTGTGCTAGGTGCTAAAAATGATCGATACATAGATGCTGTCTGCCACGAACCCATGATTTAGTGGTAGAGATGGACAAACCATGAATCAATCTAACAAGTGCAGAGTGGTATAAGAGCTAAATCTAACAATAACATCAAAAAGAAAAACAGCTGTCAGAATACAGACAAGTATGACTATAATGGTATAACTGCTCTTTGTTCTACAGCATTAATTCTGCTTTAGAGAACAAATCAGGGAGCAGTTTTGAAAGCTGGTCACAATCCAACAGTGTAAAAAGAAACCCAGAAACAGACAGTTCCCCCTCTACCATCCCATCTGATTGCTAGAATAGACTTTAAGACATTTTTCTGGTTTCCAAGCTTACCTACCCCCATAACCCTCAGATTTCTGCCTTTCTGAGCAAGCTTCAGCCTTGCAATCACCAACAGGGAAGCAATCTGCTGTTCATTCCTGAAGCCCCAGGGACCTTTCTTACTGCCACCCTTCTGGTTGGACTGTTTCTGGGCTGCCAAGTTGGCAAGGCGTCTGGTTTGAAGGCATGTGGGTTAGGACAGTCTTCTTAGCAGGATGGCCCAGGGGAGGCTTAGGGAGTAGAGTAGAAGGGAAGCCTCACTAGAAAATACAGCAAAAATGTCACTCCAGAAGATGTAATTAATCTGTAGCTAAGGAGGGAGGCAGGCTGGCCATCCCTGGAATGTATTGTTTCAGGTTTGCACCTAACCTAGATTCCTACACATTTAAGAGACACGCTATGGGAGAACCAGTGAGGTGATGCCAATACTGGAGAGCATTTAGAGTACAGTGAGTAAAGAACAAAAGCATTGAATATTTTTTTAAGCCCCTTATACTTTAGCTCTTTACAGGAGCTTGTCTTTGTTAATGTGTTATAGTTTATAAAGTATGAACTCAGGTTCTTATGAGGAAAGTAATATTATTACTGCCTTTTGCTAAGTGAGGAAAATTAGGCTTGGAGATCTGCAACTTTCCTAAGATCACACTTTTGTGTTCTGAAGCAGACCCAGGACATAATCACAGAACTTCTGACTCCAGGTTTCATGATCCTTCCACTACAGGATTCCTCTTCACAGTTAGAATTTAGTATCTAGACTGTGAGCTCCTAGTGGTGGATGTCATGTCCTGCCTTTTTTACCTCGGTCTCAGTTCTTAAGCTAGTGCCTGTCCAGTCAGGTTGACTCCCTTGAGCCCCAGCCACATTGGAGTATTTAAGAATCAGTTAAAACTGCTGGCCCAAGCTTCTGAGCATGCTAAATGGCACATCTCCCCACCCTTAAATTTTGGCCCACTGTTTGTTCCTCTTCAGATTCTTTTCTTTTCTTTTTTTTTTTGAGATAGAATCTTGCTCTGTCGCCCAGGCTGGAGTGCAGTGGCGCGATCTTGGCTCACTGCAAGCTCCACCTCCAGGTTCACGCCATTCTCCTACCTCAGCCTCCCGAGTAGCTGGGACTACAGGTGCCCGCCACCATGCCCGGCTAATTTTTTGTATTTTTAGTAGAGACGGAGTTTCACCGTGTTAGTCAGGATGGTCTTGATCTCCTGACCTCGTAATCCGCCCACCTTGGCCTCCCAAAGTGCTGGGATTACAGGCGTGAGCCACCACGCCCAGCCTGTTCCTCCAGATTCTTCTTAATCCTCAATTCTCTGTCTGCCTGTCCCATCTGAGCATGCTAAATTTTTTATCAACTTGTTTTGCTTGGAATGCCTCCTGCAGCAGTAACTGCACTGCTTGACTAGTGTTCAAAATAATCACTTATCCTGATAGTTCCTGCTCCCTTGTTGGAGGAAGAGTATACTGTCTTTGTTTATATCCAATATACACTTTCCTTCTATTAAGCCTCCATCTAAACCCTTTATGAAGCAGTATTTAGTACCGGTTACTTAACCTCTCGGAATTTCAGTCTATTCTTCTGTAAGTATTGATTGAATGAGTCAATTCATGTGATGCGCTTAGAATTTGGTGTGTAGTAAGCACACAATAAACCTTAGTTTTGTTTTTAGTATTTTTGCAATGTTGTAACTATTGGCTGTTGTCTGAAGTTTCTTTCAACCACATACTTCTATACCTTTTTGTTTTGTTCTCTATGTATTGACTGTTTTTACACGCAAATGTCACAAGTAAAAAATCTACTCATTCTTCATAGAACCACCAGTCATAAAATTGTATTCCAAACAATAGTATCAAACAGCTATTCGTTGACTATCTTATGCTAGGCATAGTGATAGGTGCTGCAGATTCAGGGGTTAAAGAGGACTACTCCTGTGGTCCCTATTCTTTGGTGCTCTTTTTCTCACTTCCAAATATCCTGTCCTATTGAGCCACTATTACTGCAGTGTTACGTTTTGCTTTACATTACTTAGTTGTTGACATATCTGCCCTGGAGGAAACTAGGTGGAGAATAATAGTATTTAGTAATCACTTCATCCCCATGGTCTAATATAACACATGACACATAAAGGGTACTTAATGTTAGTTGAATTAACAGATGAAGGAATGCATATGTGCCGAGGTGTGCTTGTTTTTTTTCTGTATAAGCCATTCTTGAATGGGAAAGTGCAAGGAAGGAAATATTTCTAAAGCCCCTTTTCTGCTGTTCTGACATTTATCGAAGGTGCACCATCTAGCACAAACCCCTTACTTTCCTCCTGAGAAAGCTATGCACATAAAAGCTTCCAATCTACTGCTAAAACATGTAGCATAAGACAAAATAGGTCACACAAAAGTGAGACATGGATTTGCAAGAGTTAATTCCATGCAGAGAATTACCAAAAGGAATATTTGAAGACCTGCAGAAATAAGGAGGAGTCATTGAATACATGGTTCTCGCCATAAGCAGGCCATGCTAAGCTGAGAGGGCATTTCAGAAGCTGGAGCTGGACAGAGAGAAATACAGATTGTGTCAGGAAAAATGCAGAACCTGGAGCTCAACTGCCTAGTAGATCTCTTTATTCAATCAATCTACGAGAGAGATAATTCTGGAAAATATGAGTCACCAGTAATTTCTTTAATAAAAATAGATAAAAGGAAACAAACACAAGTTTAAGCAACTTTAAGAGTATAGGCAAATGATAACACATCCCTCTCTACCCTTTTGTATGTTTGTTTGCTTATTTATCTGTACAGTTTTGGAAATAGCCTCTATTTTTGATATTATTGCAAAAATGTACATATCCATTGCAAAAAAGTTTTAAAATTTGTAAAACACAAAGGAAATAAAATTTATGCATAATTCTACCAACCAGAGGTCCATTACCAACATTTTTATACCCTTCTCACCTCTGTTAATAGATATATTTGCATTTGAATATACATGCATATGCTTTTGAAATGGAATATTATTAAATATCCTATTCTATAACCTTCCTTATTTAATAATAAATAATAAATATTTTAAAAACCAACAATTATAAATACACATAATTTTAATGGTTACTGAATTTTCCATTGTATGCAAGAGTTCACTAAATGTATTTATAGAGTGCTTTGAGAAACGACAGCAGAGAGTATATTTCAACTACATTTCTTAGCCAGTTTGCTAGTTAACACACTGCAGTTGGACATTGTTATACTTTATTAATTCAACTAAACATTGTGTGCTGGGAATTACCCTGAGCACAGAAAACTACAGATACAAAGATGTGATAGATAAAATGAGAATTGAAATTATAATTCAAGATCTTGCTAGGTAAACTGGACAAGTATAATATAATTCATAATAATACAATTCTAATACAATGTCTTAAGCTTGACATAAAAGGTCAGCCCCCAAATTCTTGGAGACTCAAAAGACTGGAGTAAGGACCTTGGGGAAGTGGAGAAAGCTGCACTGACAAGGTGATGCTTGAACCACCTCTTGACTTATAAGTATAGGTGGAATCCCCATTTGCATGTACATTAACATGCCTGTTTAGGAAGAATGCAGAAGCTGAAGTGTCCAGTGAGTGGCCTACACATGCTAAATAAGTATTTATTGAATGAATGTAGAATGAATAGATAAAATGATAAAATGGAATCTTCTAAAACATCAATACTACCCTGTAACATTTATATCAATTTATTGGGACCTCTAAACCCCAATAAAGCACTGTATCCCTTTGCCATGCCCACTCTGGAATCATGCAAAACCTATAAACTTTTGATAATAACACAATTTTTGAAGAATAGGCATTCAAATTGTTGGAGAATGATAATTATTGTAGCATCTTATTATTCAGTTATCACCTAAGTGTTACTTAAAATACTTCCAACACCCTGACAAAGGTGGAATTATGTGATATCCATTATATAGAGCAGAGGCTCTGTGATTGAGTGGTTAACTGACTCATACCTGAGTCGAGGTCTCTCTGACTCTTTAATTCATTACCACACTATGCTCCCTACTCTTTATAGAGAGCATTTTAGATTCATACCTTCTTTGATTTCTATAACTTCTGAGTTGGTCAGGACCTCTTTAGAGATTCCCATTTTAGTGATGAAGAAAAGAAGTCTCAAAAAAGCTACATTATTTATCTGAACTCCCAGGGATACTAATTAACAGATTCTAAATGTAAAAAAGTTTCTTCCATTGGCCCACACTGCAATTAACCACTCCTGACACAACGTTCTATATGGAAAAATTTCTGAAATGCTAGTTGTCAGAATAGAGCCCTCCAGTTTATCTCCAAGGTCCAGATGACCACCTTCACCAAAGTCCTTCCACACTAGCAGGTCTATGTGCTATAAAGTCAATAAAGAGGCTGGGCACGGTGGCTCATGCCTGTAATCCCAGCACTTTGGAAGTCTGAGATGGGTGATCACCTGAGGTCAGGAGTTTGAGACCAGCCTGGCCAAATGGTGAATCCCTGCCTCTACTAAAAAAAACACCCAAATTAGCTGGGCGTGGTGGTGGGTGCCTGTAATCCCAGCTGCTCAGGAGGCTGGGGAAGAAGAATCACTTGAACCTGGGAGGTGGAGGTTGCAGTGAGTGGAGATTGCACCACTGCACTCCAGCCTGGGCAACAGAGAAAGACCCCATCTCAAAAAACATAACAAACAGACAAACAAAGAAAACCCAAAAAACAAAGTCAATAAAGAGCCAAAGAAGTCCCTTCTGAAATTTTATCCTGGACACTCATCTTTCTCTGAAATAATAACATATCTTTATCTTCTTCAGAAGTGTATCCACACCTGGCTCTTTCCATGCTCTTCACTATGCCAAAATATTTATAATATAATCTATGGTGGGAAACAGTATAATGTGATTTAAATTGCTCAGAAGATCTGGGTTCAAAACATGGTATCATCTTTTAGTATCCATTTAAAGAAAAGTGAATTATTTTTTCTCTTTATCTTCAGTTTTCTCATTTATAAAAATGCACTGCAATAACTTACATAATTGTAGTGAGACAATTTCACTATTATATTAATATGAAATATATATATTATATGTATAGTATATACTATATTATATAGTATATATAATATACTATATAATATCTATTATAGTAATATAACTTATAACATAAAATATATTAATATATTAAATTATATTAACATTTATACAAATGGACTGCAATACTCTAATTGTAGTGATACAATTTTAGTTAATTGTGAGAATTAACTGAAATAATATTGATAATAACTTAAGCTTTTGAGGTTTTTGTTCACTGCTATAACCTATTGCCTAGTTTAGTGTCAGGAGCTCAATAAGTATTTTCTAAATAAATTAATGAGTGAATAGATTCATTGAATTAATAAATGTGAATGAATGATTGAATACAATATTTAAAGGGCTTAAATATTTCCTGGACACATATCATATTTCTTGACATTTTGCTAGGTCCTAGCAATAAAACTATGAACAAACTGGATGTGATCCATGCAGAACTAATGGTGAACACTGTTAAGAAAACAGGCAAGTAAGCAGAGTACAGCATGATGAGGATGCACAGGGTAGACAAGAGTACATAAGAGGGTAATTTAAGTGTATGAGGCAGACATTTCTTCCTGAGGCAGGTCACATCTATAGAAGTAACATATGAAAAATTTCTGTCACAAGACCTGGAACTTAGTATGTTCTTAAATAGTTCTTCATACTTTCTACACCCTTTCCCACCATCCAAGTTGAAGAGCATTTACAGACACCATCAGCTTTGCTTAATCGCTGTTGTAGTGTTAGGCTGATTTAATGACCCAGATGCCCTCGTCTTTAGTTTTTCCCAAATCTGATATTTGTGTAGAAACAGAATAAACAAGTCTTCAACCAATTCTTTCTTTTGGAGTCTTCAACCTCCTCAAACTTTTCAACCCCATCTCCACGCCAGAAAGTTTTTGTTTGTTTGTTTGTTTTACAAACCTGAGAACAGCTTAGAGTCCCTTGTCAAACCTTAAAATGAATAGAGGAGAAAAATAATTTTAACTATAAATTGAACTTCCCTATTTGTAACTTACCTATTAATCATAACTAAAAGCATGATTAAGCTGTAACTAAAAATTCCAGTAAAGACCTGCAACTGTACTAATGTATTACTGTCATTTCTTCAAAAAGAGATTATCCAGTTGTAAAGTCCAGAAAGGAAATTAGAGATTTAGAGCAACTCACTCTTTTTACAGATAGTACTACTGTATAAGAAACAAATGTTCATGACCTTAAAGCCATGAACAAATGACTGAATTAAAAAGAAACCATATGAAAAGGAATAACTTCTGAATAGCAAAAAAGTACCATTAAAACATTAAAAGATAATAACTAAAAAATATTTATAATGTTTATGACAAAAAGAACTAATTTTTAAAAATTGTGAACAACCTATACAATGCAATAATAAAACCAAAATCTAATATAAAATAGCAAAGGAAGTAGATAGAAATTTCACAAAAAGGAAATATAATTAATTTTGTTATTTTGTTTCTTTCTCCACTTTTTGTATTTTCTGAATATTTTTTAGGTGATAAGATAGGTTTTAGATAATTTTTCCCAATTGGATCATTTATGTTTTATTTTTATTTTTATTTTTTGATTTCCAGCTTTCATTTTAAGTTCAGGGTACATGTGCAGGATGTGCATGTTTGTTATTTTGTTATGTAGGTAAACGTGTGCCATGGTGGTTTGCTTCACAGATCAATCCATCAACCAGGTATTAAGCAAGCCCAGTACCCATTAGCTATTCATCCTGATGCTCTCCCTCCACCCCACTGCACTCAACAGAGAAACATAGGGCTTACACCACATTTTAGATCAAGTGGACCCAACAGATATATACAGAACATTCTAACAGCAACAGAAAATGTGCATTATTGTCGAACACACATGGATTATCATAAGGATAGATCATATGTTTAGACACAAAACAAGTCTTAACAAATTTAAGAAGATTGAAATAATCAAGTATCTTTTCTGACCAAAATGGTATGCAACTAGAAATCAACAATAGAAAGAATTTCAAAAAATTCAAAAATACATGGAAACTTAAAAATATGTTTCTGAACAACAAATGGGTCAATGAAAACATTAAAAAGGAAATTTAAAACTTTTAGAGAAGAGAAAATGGAAACACAAACTACTAAAACTTATGGGATGTAGCAAAAGCAGTTTTTTTACTTGCTATTTTTTTTTAAAAAATTTATTATTATTATACTTTAAGGTTAAGAGTATATGTGCACAATGTGCAGGTTTGTTACATATGTATACATGTGCCATGTTGGTGTGCTGCACCCATTAACTCGTCATTTAGCATTAGGCATATCTCCTAATGCTATCCCTCCCCCTTCCCCCTCCCCCCACCCCACAACAGTCCCTGGAGTGTGATGTTCCCCTTCCTGTGTCCATGTGTTCTCATTGTTCAATGCCCACCTATGAGTGAGAATATGCGGTGTTTGGTTTTTTGTCCTTGTGATAGTTTGCTGAGAATGATGGTTTCCAGTTTCATCCATGTCCCTACAAAGGACATGAACTCATCTTTTTTGATGGCTGCATAGTATTCCATGGTGTACATGTGCCACATTTTCTTAATCCAGTCTATCGTTGTTGGACATTCGGGTTGGTTCCAAGTCTTTGCTATTGTGAATAGTGCCACAATAAACATACGTGTGCATGTGTCTTTATAGCACCATGGTTTATAATCCTTTGGGTATATACCCAGTAATGGGATGGCTGGGTCAAATGGTATTTCTAGTTCTAGATCCCTGAGGAATCGCCACACTGACTTCTACAATGGTTGAACTAGTTTACAGTCCCACCAACAGTGTAGAAGTGTTCCTATTTCTCCACATCCTCTCCAGCACTTGTTGTTTCCTGACTTTCTAATGATCACCATTCTAACTGGTGTGAGCTGAATTCCACCAGAGGTACAAGGATGAGCTGGTACCGTTCCTTCTGAAACTATTCCAATCAATAGAAAAAGAGGGAGTCCTCCCTAACTCATTTTATGAGGCCAGCATCATCCTGATACCAAAGCCTGGCAGAGACACAACCAAAAAAGAGAATTTTAGACCAATATCCTTAGTGAACATTGATGTAAAAATCCTCAATAAAATACTAGCAAACCGAATCCAGCAGCACATCAAAAAGCTTATCCACCATGATCAAGTGGGCCTCATCCCTGGGATGCAAGGCTGGTTCAACATATGCAAATCAATAAATATAATCCAGTATATAAACAGAACCAAAGACAAAAACCACATGATTCTCTCAATAGATGCAGAAAAGGCCTTTGACAAAATTCAACAACGCTTCATGCTAAAAACTCTCAATAAATTAGGTATTGATGGGATGTATCTCAAAATAATGAGCTATCTATGACAAACCCACAGCCAATATCATACTGAATGGGCAAAACCTGGAAGCATTCCCTTTGAAAACTGGCACAAGACTAGGATGCCCTCTCTCACCACTCCTATTCAACATAGTGTTGGAAGTTCTGGCCAGGGCAATTAGGCAGGAGAAGGAAATAAAGGGTATTCAATTAGGAAAAGAGGAAGTCAAATTGTTCCTGTTTGCAGATGACATGATTGTATATCTAGAAAACCCCATTGTCTCAGCCCAAAATCTCCTTAAGCTGATAAGCAACTTCAGCAAAGTCTCAGGATTCAAAATCAATGTGCAAAAATCACAAGCATTCTTATACACCAATAACAGACAAACAGAGAGCCAAATCATGAGTGAACTCCCATTCACAATTGCTTCAAAGAGAATAAAATACCTAGGAATCCAACTTACAAGGGACGTGAAGGACCTCTTCAAGGAGAACTACAAATCACTGCTCAATGAAATAAAAGAGGATACAAACAAATGGAAGAACATTCCATGCTCATGGGTAGGAAGAATCAATATCTTGAAAATGTCCATACTGCCCAAGGTAATTTATAGATTCAATGCCAACCCCATCAAGCTACCAATGACTTTCTTCAGAGAATTGGAAAAAACTACTTTAAAGTTCATATGGAACCAAAAAAGAGCCCGCATCACCAAGTCAATCATAAGCCAAAAAAACAAAGCCGGAGGCATCACGCCACCTGACTTCAAACTATACTACAAGGCTACAGTAACCAAAACAGCATGGTACTGGTACCAAAACAGAGAGATAGATCAATGGAACAGAACAAAGCCCTCGGAAATAATACCACACATCTACAATCATCTGATCTTTGACAAGCCTGACAAAAACAAGCAATGGGGAAAGGATTCCCTATTTAATAAATGGTGCTGGGAAAACTGGCTAGCCATATGTAGAAAGCTGAAACTGGACCCCTTCCTTACACCTTATACAAAAATCAATTCAAGATGGATTAAAGACTTAAATATTAGACCTAAAACCATAAAAACCCTAGAAGAAAACCTAGGCAATACCATTCAGGACATAGGCATGGACAAGGACTTAATGTGGAAAACACCAAAAGCAATGGCAACAAAAGCCAAAATTGACAAATGGGATCTAATTAAACTAAAGAACTTCTGCACAGCAAAGGAAACTACCATCCGAGTGAACAGGCAACCTACAAAATGGGAGAAAATTTTCACAACCTACTCATCTGACAAAGGGCTAATATCCAGAATCTACAATGAACTCAAAGAAATTTACAAGAAAGAGCAGTTTTAAGAAGGATGTTTACAACAATAAATGCCTACATTAACAAAAAAAATTCCAAATACATAATCCAATGCTGTACTTCAAAAAACTGAAAATAAAGGTCAAACTATGCCTAAAGTTAACAGAAGGAAGGAAATAATAAAGATCAGAGAAGAAGTAAATGAAAATAGCACAAAAGATCAATGAAGCTAAGAATTGGTTTTTAACAAGGTAAACAAAATTGACATACCTTTATTGAGAATAAGAAAAAAAAAGACGCAAATAAATACAATCAGAAATGAAAGAGGAGACATTACAACAGATACCATAGAAATACAAAAATCATAAGAGACTACTAAGAACAACGAATTGGGTAGACTAGAAGAAAATAGATAAATTCCAAGAAACACACAATGTCCAAAACTGAATCATGAAAAAATAGAAAATCTTAATAGACCAAAAATGAGTACAGAAGAGTGAATTAGTAATAAAAATTCTTCCATCAAAGAAAAGCTTAGGACCTGATGACTTCAGAGATAAGTTCTACCAACATTTAAAGAACTAATACAAATCCATCACAAACTCTTCCAAAACATTTAAGTGGCGAGAATACTTTCAAACTCATTTCAGAAGGCCAGCTTTACCTTGATACCAAAGCCAGACTAGGAGAGTATGACAAAACAAAATTACAGGCCAATATTCCTAATGAACATAGATGCAAAAATCTTCAAAGAATACTAAAACACTGAATTTGACAGTGAATTCAACAGAAGGCTGGTTCACTATCATCAAGAGGGATTATCCCAAAGATGCAAGGATAGTTAATATACAAATTTCACAGTTATATTTGAGAAAAATCACATGATCATAGGACATTTTAATAGATGTATTAATAGAAAAAAGTATTCAACAAATTTAACATCCTTTTGTGATAATAGTTATTTGTTAACGTTTTGTTATTTGTTATTTTACTTTTTATTTGTTATTTGTTATTTGTTGTTTGTTATACTTGCTTTTGACTTTCTGTTATTTGTAATTTGTTATTTGTCATTTGTTAATTCAAATAACAAAAAGTCAAAAGCAAGTATATGTGAATTTTATTGGCCCTAGTTTAGAAAATAACCCTGTATTAATAAAAACAAAGTAAGTAAATTGATATATACAATTAATTACTATTAAAAATATTAATTTCTCTAAAGCAATGGGGTCAGAGGATATAAATATATAATTCCATAAAAAAGAAAAGAAGAAATAAAGGAAATACAATGTCACTAAAAGACAAAATCACATTTTCAACCTAATAATCTCAAAATTATTATGTAGCTTCATTATAATTTTTTATGTATCAAAAATATTTTTTAGAAAAGATAAATAATACTTTTAAAAAAGATGTTTATGAGACGGTTGTGAAACAAGCTGTCTTAAATACTGCCTGGGGAAAGATATAATTTGTCTGAACTTACTGAAAACAATCTGTCAATTAGTATGACAATTAGTATGTCAAACGGATACTGTTAAAGTCTCAGTAAAGGTATTAGTCATTTTTAGAAATATGTTCTAGGAAAATAAGAGATGAAACTTATTTTAAATTTTTGGTGATTTCCTGAGACATGACGATGAGGCAATTCTGGTGACCACACTTTTAGGAATCACTGCTTTAGAGAAACTTTGTATTTCTACCTAAAGACACGTACAAGCTTCTTTACTACAATATTGTTTCTTGCAGATGTAAAAATTGTAATTAAAAATAAAATACCAACCATAAAAAGATGGGTACTAGGTTGGAGTATAATTATAAAATATAACTCAGCTGTTAAGAAGAATGGAGTAGGTCCTGAAACAACGTTGCGGGATCTTGAAAGTGCACTGTGAAATAAGCAAGTTTCAGAGGGCTACATAGAGTATGCTATTTATTTGGCTTTAAAAAGCTTAAGATACTGTATATGATTTACAGGTACACAGCAGCAAATGTAAAATAAAATGACTGAAAGATAAGAATAAAATTCATGGCAATTTTGCCCCAGAGAAGGATTTCACATTAAGACTGGAAATGGAGGCAAAGGTACTTAAACTTTATCTATAAATACTTCCTATTATAAAATAAGATTTGAAGCAAATATATAAAATGAGCATTTTCAAGACTTGGTGGTGGGAATAGGAGATTAATTTATCATTTCAAGTAATATTTAGCATCCATCTACTACAAGAAGGCAGTTTTCTAGGTTCTGGGGATACATAAATAAATACAATTCAGTTTAGATTCTAGCAGAGAGAGACAGTCAATAAACGAGTGTAGTAACTAAACATCAGATGAGGATTAGGTACTACGGAGATAAAAGCAGAATAACAGAAACAGAAAATTTAGAAAGAAGAGGATAGGAAAAGAGTTAATGTATTATTTAGGAGAATTAGGCAGTGACAGGGATATTTGAGAAAGGGGGAGAGAGCACAGGATCACTATGTAGAGGAATAACACTTGCTAAGGGTTTGAGATTTGTAGGTCTGAGGAAGAGCAAGGAGCCTTATATAATTTGGGTGGACCTATAGAGGGAGAGAGGAGAAGGAGATGAGGTCAGTAAAGTAATAAGTCATCAAGTTATTTTTATAATTTTAATCAAACTGTAGCACATATGGATATAAGTGAACAAATTTTAAGTGTTTGGATAGATGAGTTTTCCAAAAAAGGACATGGCTATAGGGACAAGATGGCCAACTAGACATAGCAAGTAAGTGCCACTCCCACTGAGATAGACCAAAATATCAAGTTAACCAACATACTTTGAGCAGACCTCAAAGAGAAAACACCAAGAGTGGATAAAGAGGTACAGACTCTGAGGCTGAAGAGCGAGGAAGTTGGGAACACTGCGTAGGATACCAGAATGGCTCCTAAGGAAGTGGTGAGGAAAGGGACTGACAGACTAATTTTATCATGACCCTCTAGGATCCTAGCTTTAAGGAGACCCTATGTCTCCCATGGACCCATGGACATTTGAGCTGGCAGTGGAATTAATGGCTAAATTAACTGGGGAGTAGTCAGAATCAGGGTTTCAGCTGCCCTGGAGTCCAGGGGCTTTTTAAATTTTTTTGGTGTGGAGCATCTCTGATGGAGCATAGCCATAAGTGTCCATACCCCAGGACTCTTCATGTCTTTCTGAGACACTCTAGCCCGAACTGACTGCCAGTTTGGAGATTTCTCAAAGAACTTTAAACAGAGCTACCATTCAACCTAGCAATCCCATTACTAGGTATATACCCAAAGAAAACAAATTGTTCTACCAAAAAGACACTTGTATGTTTATTGCAGCACTATTCACAGTAGCAAAAACATGGAACCAACCACCTAGGTGCCTATCAGTGGTGGACTGGATAAAGAAATGTGGTATATACTACATAGCCATAAAAAGGAATAAAACCATGTCCTTTGCAGCAACATGGATGTAACTGGAGGCCATAATCCGAAACAAACTAATGTAAAAACAGAAAACCAAGCACTGTATGTTATCACTTTTACATGGGAGCTAAACATTGAGTACACATGGACATAAAGATGAGAACAATAGACACTACAGGCCTACTGGGGGGAAGTAGAAGAGTGGAGCATAGATTGAAAAACTACCTATTGGGTACTATACTCACTACCTGGGTGACGAGATCTGTACCACAAACCTCAGCATTATACCGTATTCCCATGTAACAAACCTGCATATATATGTGTGTACATATATGTATATATGTGTATATATTGTATATATTTGTGTATATATATATATCTGTGTGTGTGTGTGTATATATATATATATATATATTTGCCCTGTATCTAAAATAAAAGTTGAAATCATTTTTTTTTAATGAAAACTCATTAGTGTACCACTGGTAAAAGAGAGAGGGGAAAGAGGAGAGGGGGATGGTGTGGTGGTTAATACCAAGTGTCAACTTGATTGGATTGAAGGATGCAATATGGATCCTGGGTGTGTCTGTGAGGGTGTTGCCAAAGGAGATTAACATTTGAGCCAGTGGACTGGGGAAGGCAGACCCACCCTTTTCAGGTGGGCACCATCTAATCAGCTGCCAGTGACTATAAAGCAGGCATAAAAACGTGAAGCTACAAGACAATGGGCCTAGCCTCCCAGCCTACCTCTTTCTCCTATGCTGGATGCTTCCTGAGCTCTAAGATTGCACTCCAAGTTCTTCTGTTTTGAGACTCTGACTGCCTCTCCTTATTCATCAGCTTGCAGACAGCCTATTGTAGGACCTTATGATTGCGTAAGTTAGTACTTAATAAATTCTTTCTTTTTTTCTTTTCTTTGCTTTCTTTTCTTTCCTTTGTTTTTCTCTTTCTTTCTTTTCTTTCTTTCTTTCTTTCTCTTTCTTTCTTTCTTTCTTTCTTTCTTTTTTTCTTTCTTTTTTCCTTTCCTCCTTTCCTTCCTTCCACCCTCCCTCCCTTCCTTCCACCCACCCTCCCTCCCTCCCTCCCATTCATCCATCCATCCATCCATCCATCCATCCATCCATCCATCCATCCATCCATCCTATTAGTTCTGTCCTTCTAAAAGAACCCTGACTAATACAGATGGGGAGGGAGAAAGGGAAAAAAAGAGAAAGTGAGATTGAGAACAGTGCAACACCCAAAATCTCCTTCTATGCCTCTTACCCGTCATTTATTACTATCCTTAGAACAGGTAACCACTATCCAAACACCATCAATTCATTTCGGCAGTTTCTGATGTGGTAGCTCTAGTTCATTCATTTTCATGATGCATAGTAATCAAAGACACACACACACACACACACACACACACACACACACACACACAGTTTCTTCATTCTGCTTTTGCAGTTTTTATGTTCATTGTTCATTTGAGGAGGAGAACCTTTTCTAGTTTTTTACCACCATCAATAGTGCTGTGATAAACATGATTTTTGTGAACAAAAGGGGCACATTTCTGTTGGGACTATACCTGGGATTTACATTGCTGCAGCATACTGTTTACATGTTTCAGTCCCACTTACTACTTCTTTTTTTTTTTTAATTATACTTTAAGTTTTAGGGTACATGGGCACAATGTGCAGGTTAGTTACATATGTATACATGTGCCATGTTGGTGCGCTGCACCCATTAACTCGTCATTTAACATCAGGTATATCTCCTAATGCTATCCCTCCCCACTCCCCCCACCCCACAACAGGCCCCAAAGTGTGATGTTCCCTTTCCTGTGTCCATGTGTTCTCATTGTTCAATTCCCACCTGTGAATGAGAACATGCAGTGTTTTGGTTTTTTTGTCCGTGCGATAGTTTGCTGAGAATGATGGTTTCCAGCTTCATCCATGTCCCTACAAAGGACATGAACTCATCATTTCTGATGGCTGCATAGTATTCCATGGTGTATATGTGCCACATTTTCTTAATCCAGTCTATCGTTGTTGGACATTCGGGTTGGTTCCAAGTCTTTGCTATTGTGAATAGTGCCACAATACACACACGTGTGCATGTATTTTTATAGCAGCATGATTTATAATCCTTTGGGTACATACCCAGTAATGGGATGGCTGGGTCAAATGGTATTTCTAGTTCTAGACCCCTGAGGAATCACTGCACTGACTTCCACAATGGTTGAACTAGTTTACAGTCCCATCAACAGTGTAAAAGTGTTCCTATTTTTCCACATCCTCTCCAGCACCTGTTGTTTCCTGACTTTTTAATGATTGCCATTCTAACTGGTATGAGATGATAACTCATTGTGGTTTTGATTTGCATTTCTCTGATGGCCAGTGATGATGAGCGTTTTTTCATGTGTCTTTTGGCTGCATAAATGTCTTCTTTTGAGAAGTATCTGTTCATATCCTTCGCCCACTTGTTGATGGGTTTGTTTGTTTTTTTCTTGTAAACTTGTTTGAATTCATTGTAGATTCTGGATATTAGCCCTTTGTCAGATGAGTAGATTGCAAAAATTTTCTCCCATTCTGTAGGTTGCCTGTTCACTCTGATGGTAGTTTCTTTTGCTGTGCAGAAGCTCTTTAGTCTAATTAGATCCATTTGTCAATTTTGGCTTTTGTTGCCATTGCTTTTGGTGTTTTAAACATGAAGTCCTTGCCCATGCCTACGTCCTGAATAATGCTGCATATCTACAACCATCTGATCTTTGACAAGCGTGACAAAAACAAGAAATGGGGAAAGGATTCCCTATTTAATAAATGGTGCTGGGAAAACTGGCTAGCCATATGTAGAAAGCTGAAACTGGATCCCTTCCTTACACCTTATACAAAAATTAATTCAAGATGGATTAAAGACTTAAATGTTAGACCTAAAACCATAAAAACCCTAGAAGAAAACCTAGGCAATACCACCCACTTACTACTTCTACCAGCAGAATATGAGACTCCCAATAGCTTTACATTTTGACTTACACTGGAATTATTAATATTATTAATTTAAGCCATGCTGGTGGTTATATAGTGGTATCTCATTGTGATTTTAATTTGCTTCCTTCTGATGGATGAAATTGAGCACTATTTTACATTTATTGATAATTATGATATCTTCTCTTAAAAAGTAGATAGCCAAATCATTTCCTTTTTTTCCCTTATTTGGTTTGTAGCTATTCTTTGTGTATCTTAAATGTGTTATTTGTCAGATACATGTGTAAGCACTATAGTCTCCTGTCCTTCTACTTGTCCTTTTTACTCTCATAGGAATAATTTGTTGACCAGATAACTTTAAATTTAATGCATTACAATATATTGTTCATTTTCTTTATTAGTAGTACATTTTGTGACCCTTTAATAGATTGTTGCTTAACTCAAGACAATACTAATATTCTCCTATATCATCATCAAGAAGCTTTGTTGTTTTATATTTCACTTTGAAATTTAAAATCCACTTGGAATTGTAGTAAAGTAGGAATCAAAGTCTGTTTTCTCTCATATAGTTATATAGTTGGACCCATATAATTCACTTAAAATGTCCTCTTTTCTTTTAATCATTTGCAGTTTATCTTTATCAAATATCAAGTGACTGTCCCAGTGAATCTTTTTCTGGACTTTTTAGTAAGTGCTAGGGATCTATTTAGCTTTTCTTGCACCAATGTCACACTGTCATAATTAAAGTGTCTTTTTAGTAAGTTTAGCAAGTAAAGTGTCTTTTTAGTAAGTTTAGATATCAACAAGAGTTAAAATTTTTTCTTCACATATGTCCTGGCTGTTCTTTGGGCTTTATATTCTCATATAAATTTTGGAATAATTTTGACATTTTCTATAAGAAAAGCAGCTGGGATGCTTTCCTGGGGATTATTTCAAATCTAGAGAACATTTGTAAATTGATAAATTTACAATTCTAAGTGTTTCTATCTATACACAGGACACATTCATTGAAATACTCAATCTTAGTTATCTCAATCATATGTTGTAGTTTTGTGTGTATGGAGCTTTGATTTATTCTTTAAGTATATGTTGCCTTTTTACACTAATGTAAGTGTATTATTAAAAATAGTTTGCTCTATAGTCTTAAGTTGTGTGTCCCCCTAAAATTAGTATGTTGAAACGTAATCACCAATGCAATAGTATTAAGAGTAGGGTCCTTTGGGGAGTGATTAAATCATTAGGTCTCTGTCTTCATGAAAGGGATTAGCGCCTTTATTTTTTTATTTTTTTATTTTTTTTGAGACGGAGTCTCGCTCTGTGCCCCAGGCTGGAGTGCAGTGGCGTGATCTTGGCTCACTGCAAGCTCCACCTCTTGGGTTCACACCATTCTCCTGCCTCAGCCTCCCTAGTGCCTTTATTTTTTTTTTTTTAAAATATATATCCTTGTAAATGAAAGCAATCTTGCTCCTTCACCATGTGATGACTAAGGAACAGGCCCTCACCAGACACCAAGTTTGCTAGTGACTTCTCCTTAGACTTCCCAGTCCCCAGAACTGTGAGAAATAAATTTCTAATTTTTTAAATAAATTACCCAGTCTCAGGTATTTAGTTATAGCAGCCTGAATAGATGATGACAGTTTGTTTTTCTCTTTGCTGTCAACATATTATTTTAATATTGATCTTATATCCACTGATATTGGTAAATTCAGTTATTGTAATTGTTTATATGTGTACTTTTTTGTAGTTTTCTAAATAATCATTTTTCTATGAATAATGATGTCTACACCACTTCTCATACAATTTTTATATTTCTTTTTATTTAATGCGCTGGCAAAGACTTTATGTAGAATGCAACCTATAAGCATTCAAAATGGGTCTCCTTCACAGGGGAAAAGTTTTTACTGTATCACCATTAATTGTGTTCTTCAATTTGATTAGACAGTCTTCATCAGATTGGAGACATTTCCTTCTCATTCTAGTTTGTTAAGAGGTTTTGGGTTTCTTTTCTTAAAATGAATGCAGTTGTTAACTATTTTATCAAAATACCTTTCTGCTTCTATTGACTTGAATGTTTTTCTCTTTTTTCTATTATTGTGATAAATGACATAGTTTACTTTTTAAAGTACAGATTATTGGGAGGCCAAGGTGGGCAAATCACCTGAGGTCGGGAGTTCGAGACCAGCCTGACCAACATGGAGAAACCCCATCTCTACTAAAAATACAAAAATTAGCCAGGAATGGTGGCACGTGCCTGTAATCCCAGCTACTCAGGAGGCTGAGGCAGGAGAATCACTTGAACCAAGGAGGCGAAGGTTGCGGTGAGCCAAGATTGTGCCATTGCACTCCAGCCTGGGCAACAAGAGCGAAACTCCTTCTCAAAAATAAATAAATAAATAAATAAATAAATAAATAAATATTGCTTACATAAAAAAAAATTTACGTTTTAAAGGTATGTAATTTGCTGAATTTTTAAAAACATTCACAGCCATGTAATCATCACTATAAACAAGATTATTTTTATTACTGCTGGAAGTTCCCTCACTTCCCTTTGTAGTGAGTACCCTCCATCACCCCACTAACGTTTAGGAATGGCTGCTTCTTTCATTATAGTTTGTCTTTTCCAGAATGCCATATAATTGAATCGTATAATAATTATACATTAATCCATTCAAACCTGGCTTTTCCACATAATATATTTTCAAGATCCATTTATGTTATGTCATGTATCAGCAATTCCTTATTATGTAGAAAAATTGTTTTTTACTGGTTGATGAGTATGGGGTTGTTGTTTTCTGACTATTATGAATAAAATTGCTATAAACATTGAGGTACAGGTCTTTGTGTGGACACAAATTTTTATTACTCTTGGATAAAACAAGATTGGGATTGCTGGGCCATATGCTAAGTATTTGATTAAACTGGTTAAACTACTAACCTGTTTTCAAAACTGGCTGCGTGACTTTCCATTCCAACCAGAAGTATATGAGATCTTTACAACTAGACAATCTATTCTGTTCCATTGAAATCTGTATCTATGCTATGCCCATGCCACACTGCTTTAATTGCTCTTTTCAAATGATGCCATGAAGTCATATAAGTTCTCCAAATTTATTCGTATTTTGAAATTATTTTGACAATTTGAGGTCCTTCGTTTTCCCACATAGTTTTTAAATTGCCATTTTCTAAAAAGTCTAATGTAGTTTTGATTAAAATTATGTTGTATCTATAGATAGATTTTGTGGGAATTGATATATCACCTATATTGGGACTTTTAATTTGTGAACACGGTGCATCGTTCATCATCACTATAAACAAACAAACAAAACAAAAATTTTTATTTTTGATTTCTCCCTTCAATGTCTTATAGTTTACAGCACAAAAATTTTGTACATGTTTCTGTACATATTTTGTTAGATTTATCCATAAGGATTTTATGCATTTTAATACTATTTTGCAAATCATATTTTTATTATCCAAGTAATTTTTGTATGTTGACTTTGTATTCTTTTTTTTTTTTTTTTTTTTTAAGATGGAGTCTCACCCTGTTGCCCAGGTGGAACTGCAGTAATGTAATCTTGGCTAACTGAAATCTCTGCCTCTTGGGTTCAAGCAATTCTTCTGCCTCAGCCTCTCAAGTAGCTGGGATTACAGGCACCCACCACCATGCCTGGCTAATTTTTGTGTTTTTAGTAGAGACAGGATTTCAGCATGTTGGCCGGGCTGGTCTCGAGCTCCTGACCTCAAGTGATCTGCCCACCTTGGCCTCCCAATGTGTTGGGATCACAGGTGTGAGCCACCGCTCCCAGCCAAATTTTTAATTAATATTTATAATTTTTGTGGTTCTTTGGAATTTCTGGTATGTTGTATCGTGTCATCTGGTAAAAAAAGAGAAATTTTATGACTTCCTTTCCAATCGTATGTCTTTACTCTCTGTGTTGTACTGGCTATAATACCTGGCACAATCTTGAATATGAGTGGTGAGATAAGAAATCATTGTCTTGTCCCTGATATTAGGGGCAAAACATTCCATCTTTGAAAATTAATTATGATGTTAGTTATAGGATTTTTGTAGATTCAATTGATCATTTTTTGGAAGTTTTCTTCTATTCATTGTTTTTTAAAAGTTTTTCTTTCCTTATTGTGGTTATCATAAATGGTTAACATCCATTATCATAAATGGATGCTAATTTTTGTGAAATATTTAATTCTGCACTGAGATAATCATATGATTTGTCCTTTTCAGTCAATGAGTGTGGTGAATTATAATGTTTAATTTTTAAATTGTTTTCAAACCGTATATTCCTGGGATAAATTCCACTTTATGATGAGGTATTATACTTTTTGTATGTTGCTGTATCTGATATGTTTATATTCGTTAGAAATTTTTGCATCCCTGTGATCTAAATATGACCATATGCTTTATAGGCTCAATATTTTAAAATAAGATAATGATAGAATCCTGGGCTAAATTTTGGCTCAGAATCTGGTATATGATTCATTATAAGCCATCACTTCACTTTAACAATATTAATAAAATACATGTATTATCAATTTACAGTTTAAAATTTTTTCATAAGCATTATTTTATAATATCGTTACAATAATCCTGCAGAAAATTAGAATTTTCTTCATTTTTTAGGTAAAGCAACTGAAATGGGGGAAGATAAAATGCCTTGCCCAATTTCTCACAATTTATTAAGTTCATTATTAGCACTTAGAGGTCTGCACTTTAATATAGCTATTATCCTGAAATATAAAATTTCCACCTCCAGATCAATTTTCTGATACCTCCTTGCAAACAGCTTGACTTTTAAGCTCCACTAGATATTGTGATGTAGATGGTTATTTTTGTGCTCCTACTCACCCTGTTCTGTACCCTCCTTTTTGTCACTTCTTATCTCCGGTCCTGCAACCCTAGCTGTTTAGGGTCCACATAATCTGCATACCAAGTCCTCCACACATACCCCAACACATCTCAATCATCACAACTGTTAGGCTTTCATTCACAGCATCATGAAGAAATATATTTTATTGAATCTGAGATACCATTAATTATTAGATGTACTGATTATAAATCAAACCATTAATTTATGTACTGTTAAGAGAGAAAAATGTTATTGCAAATGACACTGAAATATCTTCTTACCACATTCATTGTAATTCCACTAGTAGAAAATTCAAAATATGAAAAGGCTGTTTCAATTATCTATTACTGTATAACAACCCACCCACAACTGAATGTCTTAATACAAAAATAGATATATATCTTTCATGGTTCTGTAGGTTGACGTGGCTAAACCGAGCCATTCTTTCTTGAGTTTTCTTAAGCATGTTTTTTCATTGATAGAAGTGGTAGCAGGAATTGGAGGACACCAGGATAGGCATCCCATAGATGGCAAATGATGCTACCACTGAAGGGGAGCTTAGCTGAAGCTGTTGAAGAGATTGCTACACAAGATATTGCTATATGTATAGGCTTCATACAACATGAAAACTGAGTTCAGAGAGGGAGCTTCCAAAGCATGTTGTAAGAAAGAGGAAGTAGAAGTTGTCAGTATAATGAAGGGCTGGACCTGTAACCAGCACAGCATTATTTCGTTTAACATCTATTAAGCAAAGAAGTTACAGGGTCTCCTGATTCAAGTGAATAGAGAAACAGACTGCATTTTGATGGAAGTTTGGCAAGTGCAAATATGTTAAGAATAGAAATGTGCCTCTGTGAGTTCACAAAAAATTGAAGTATACATATTAACGTTGTTACTTGTGATTGCCTCTGGTTCTAGAGTATTGAAAGAGCTAAAATTCTTTGTAGGATTAAAATTTAAAGGTTGGAATTGAAACAGATTGTTACTTTTTACAGTTTTCTCCATATTTTGAGTACATTTTAAAGGGTATTAAAGAAATATTTTTTGAATCAAAATTGACTAACTGCCCTCTCCCAATTTTCCCAAGGCTCCTTAAAGGATAACAAAAGGGAATAACTACTATTGTCATAATTTATCTGGACATTCCTCAATTCTTTCTGTTTTTCTAAAAAAATTTTCTTTAGAACACCACTGCTATATTTTCTTCTTCACTCCTACACAGGAAAAAACTCCTGTAATAAGAGATTGCTTCTCTAAATTATAGTCCTCAAATTTTTGGTAAAGGAATAATTCTTGCAAAGATAAAGGAAGGCAATGGGACAAGTTAGGTTTAAACACTTTTTAATCTTTTGTATTATATGTGATGATGAGAAGAGACAGGAACTGTGGGATACTGGTTGTAATATTTTGCTATTTCAACGTTAACTCTTAAGCAGTGAAATCTCTCCTTACAAAGCAAGGTCATGCGTCAGTAACAGTTCCTAAGATCTCCCCAACAAGTGGCTTCCACTTCTTTCTGTATTATATTTTCACGTAAGAATACCTTGATCCCTCAAAAGGCCACATCCATTAAAAAGGGAAGGGATGGCGTGGGTAACTACAACAGGAACACTATTGATTCCTAATTAGTGGAAAACATAGTGATGATTATTTCTGTGTGGACACTATAGGCATCAATAACTACTATTCAGTTTATTTGAACTCCTCATCACATTTTTAGTAAAACCCCATGGGGTGAAGAACAGTAAACTGCAATTAAGACTTTTGCAGACTTCAAAATGAAGTCTCTGAGAGTTTGAATATTGACATGCTCCAAAACTATCATTGAGGACTTTGTAATTACTCCATCTATGGGAGTAATTTCATCTAAATGCTCTCTCCTTGGGCCACACTACCTTTTGAACTTCTATTCAAACATGCTATAACAGTAGACACTGGACAAATAAGAAATGGATTTTGCAGTGTTTACATTTAACTTCTTTCCTGATTTTCTTTGTGTCCATAAAACTTCAGGAGTGCCAATTATCTTTTTATAGATCAGATCGACACTGAGCAAGGTATACTTAGGGTTTGAGACTGAATCTCTTATGACAGGCAATAAATCACCTAAAATATCTTTTTGTATTTGATGAGCAGTCAAAATCACTTACAGGAAGCTGATGACAGACATTATTTTTTTCCCTCAGTTGGCCCAAGTTTTCACACTCACACCAATTTTAGAGCTGTTACTAGACTAATGACCCAATTCAGTCAGATGCTTATGATATTTTTTTGTCATCAGTTTTGTGATCATGAAGAGGATGAAATGTTAATAGTTCTGACATTTGTTTTTTCATATCTTTTAATACACTGCTAAAGAAAAAATTCTCACTAATATTATAGACTTCTTTTACATTGTTTTCTATTCAAAATAAGTGAGAAATTCAGTAACACTTTTTCATAACATTTTTCTCCTAAATTCCCAGAATGTCACCACTAGGAAAAAGACATCTTAGGTAAATATAAGGTAAATTTGTTAAAATTCAATTGGACCTTCGGTACTTCTATTGAGTTTTTTCCACAGTAGATACTCGACATCTATCTCACACGCTTTCTTCTTCTTGGCAGATAATCTGGTGTATTAGTCAAGGTTCGTCAGAGAGAGAGAACCAATATGATGTATATGTATGTGTTTTTATACACAGATCTGTATATATGTGTACCTGTATATACATGTGTGTGTGTGTGTGTGTGTGTGTGTGTGTGTGTGTTTCTGCAGAGAGACAGAAAGAGATTTTTTTTTTTTTTTTACTTTAAGAAATTGGCTCACATGACTACGGAGGCTTGGCTCATCCAAAATCTGGTAAGAGTAGGCCAGAAGGCTGAAGATTCAGGAATTAGTCACAATTAAAGTCCAAAGGCAGTCTACTGGTTGAATTCCTTCTTGCTCTGGTAGAATTCTAGATCAGTCTTTGTTCTACTAAGGCCTTCAACTGATTGTATGAGATTATGTAGGGTAAACTGTATATTTAAAATTTACCAATTTAAACGTTAATCTCGTCTCAAAAGCACCTTAACAGAAACATCCAGGATAATGTTTGACCAAATACATGGATACCATGGGCCAGGCAAATTAACATATTAAATTAGCCATCATACTTGCTGTCTTACTTTTCTAAAAACTTTCTGCTGCTTCATAAGAAGGAGACTTTCTACCCTTCAGAAGCTAATACTCTCTCTACCCTTACCCTTATTTTTTGATTTCTCTTATAACTTGTTCTTTCATCTGTCCTCCCAAACCCCACCTCCATCCCCTTATGACACCCTACTTCAGTCCTTTCAGTCTTCCCAGAAACTCATCAGGTCTCTCCATGATAAACTTTCTCTTGACCTTTTCATGGTTGCTGTTCCTTGCCCTCATTTCACAGCCCAACTCCCCATTTCCCATACTTCTATTCAGCATAGGAAACACAACTCTCACAGGTCAGCAGTAGGTTCCTAGTGGCTAGAACAATGTGTTTTTCTTTGTTCTCGTTCTTTGACATTTCTCTGTACCCTGGTCCTGTTATCTTCCTCTTCCCCACTGAATATCTCCCGATTTTGGTTTTCTGTGGTTTTGTCATACTGTAATCATTTTATCTATTTCTCCTTCACTTGCTTTTCTTCTCCCTGTCATCCCTTACGTAGATGTTTCTCAAGTTCTATTCTCTGTCTTTTCCGTTAATTTCTTTATTTTTTCTGCCTGGATAAATATCTAAATTTTAATAGTTTTAAATATCTACTTTAAAAAAAAACGTGATTCTAAATGTATGTCTTCTAAATTATTTCATTCTCCTGTATTTTAGCTTCCTGAACTAAAAATCTGGGAGCTATATGTAAAAATTTTCATTTTCTCATTTTTCTCACTTATACCAATAAGCATTCCAGCAAGATCCTAACAAAGAAATACTTCTACTTGAGTCATTTCCTTCATCCTTAGTGCCCAGCCATAATTTGAAGCTTCATAATCACTTCTCTGGTTATTTGGTAAGTCCTGCTGACCATTCCCACCTCTAGTCTCTCTTTTTTGCATCTATTTCTGTAATTTGCTGGAGCCTTCTTTCTAAATATGTGCCTAAACATGTCTTTCCTTGGTCTGTAGTGATTTTTGTTATGTCTCTTCAAAATGTGCTCCATCCAACATAATATCTATTTCTCTTTCGATTTATTATTGCCATGTGATAAGCCAATGCGTACTTACTTTGTCATTTCTTATATGAGAAAAATGAAACTTGAAAGACATGAGTCTGTAGTTGCTCTAATATCTGAAGATAGACCTGCAAATATGATTATAGTCCTGATTTTAATTTTTTGCTTATCATGCTGCTATACTAATTCAAACTAAGACAGCTTCTAAATAAATAAATAAACAAATAAACAAATGCCATTGGCATCTGTCATGAGAAATGAGTGCCTGTTGAGTAAAGGCAGTGATAATTAAAAGCAGTAGTTGTCAACCTGGCTAGATTATTAAAATCCCCAAGGGAGTTTAAAAAACACTGATGCATAGGCATCACCAGAATCTCTGGAGGTGGGAATCTTACACCAGGATTTTTTTTTTTTTTTTTTTTTTTTTTTTTTTTTTTTTTTTTTTTGAGACGGAGTCTCGCTCTGTCGCCCAGGCTGGAGTGCAGTGGCGCGATCTCGGCTCACTGCAAGCTCCGCCTCCCGGGTTCACACCATTCTCCTGCCTCAGCCTCCCTAGTAGCTGGGACTACAGGCGCCCGCCACTACGCCCGGCTAATTTTTTGTATTTTTAGTAGAGACGGGGTTTCACCGTTTTAGCCGGGATGGTCTCGATCTCCTGACCTCGTGATCCGCCCGCCTCGGCCTCCCAAAGTGCTGGGACTACAGGCGTGAGCCACCGCGCCCGGCCGATTTTTTTGTTTTTTAAAGATCCCTAGTTGGGTCTAATCAAAAGCAAATTTGAGAACCAGCAGTTTTCCTTGCTATTTGAAGTGTACATATTTGAAAGTGGTCCATAGGATGTTATAAACACATATGTTTTTTAAAATCAAATTACTTAAAGCATAAGAGAAGTGTTTAATTCTTTACCTATGCAAATGTATGAATTTCTCTTAGGAGGAAGTATATTATTCAGAATTGGCAAACTAACGTATTGCAGAACAGTATCTTTGTTTCCCTCCCAGCTTTTTTGTAGTATGATTGACAAATAAAAATTACATGCACTCACAGTGTACAAACTGATGTTTTGAGATGCATATACATTGTGAAATAATTACCACAATACAGATAATTAACATATTCATTATCTCACATAGTTACCGTTTGTGTGTATGTGGTGAGAACACCTAGATCTACTCTCGACAAATTTCAAATATACAACACATTATTATTAGCAGTAGTAATCATGATGTACATTAGGCCTATGAAATTTATTTATCTTTAAATGAAACTTTGTGTCCTTTAACTAATATGCCCCCTTTTTCCTCACCCCCCCAGTCACTAATAATTACCAATCTACTCTCCGTTACTATGAGTTTGACTTCTTTATAAATTCCACATATAAGTGAGAGCATGCAATGCTTTTCTTTCTGTCTGGCTTATTTTACTTAACATGGTGTCCTCCAGTTTCCTCCATGTTGCCAGAAAAAATAGAATTTCCTTTTTTCAAGCTGAATAATATTCAATTGAATAATATATACCATACTTTATCCATTCAGTTATAGACGGGCTTTTGTCAATAATGCTGCTATGAACATTATAGTACAAATATCTCTTTGATACAGTTATTTTAGTCCCATGGCTATAAACTCATAATTGGGATTGCTAAACCATATGGTAGTTCTATTTTTAGTTTTTTGAGGAAACCCCATACTGTTTTCCATAATGGCTCTAAACAATTTACATTCTCACCAATAGTGTTAAAGGATTCCCCTTTCTCCACATTCACCAACACTTGTCTTTCATTTTTAAAAATAATAGCCATCATAACAGGTGTGAAGTAATAGCTCATTGCTGTTTTGATATGCATTTTCTTGATGATTAGTGATGTTGAACATTTTCATATATACCTGTTGGTCATTTATATGTCTTCTTTGAAAAATCTTATCAGGTCCTTTGCCTATTTTAAAATTGTGTTTATTATTATTCTTGATGTTGAGTTGCATGTGCTCGTAATATTTTGAATATTGGCTTTTTATCAGATATATGATTTGCATTTTTTTCTCCCATTCTTTTGGTTGCCTTTCTGTTTTGTTGATTGTTTCCTTGGCTGTGCAAAGACTTTTAGTTTGCTGTAATTCCACTTATTCATTTTGGTGTTTGTCCCCTGTACATTTGGTGTAAAATTCAAAAAAGCATTGCCAAGACTCATGTTAAGGAGCTTTTCCTTATGTTTTCTTTTAGAAACTTTATTGTTTCAGTTCTTACTTTTAAGTCTTTAATTTATTATGAGTTGATTTTGTGTAAGATGTATTATAAGGGTCCAGTTTCATTCTTTTTCATTTCACGGTATAATTTATTGAAGAGACTATTCTTTCCTTATTGTTTATTCTTAGTGCCTTTTTCAAAAATTAGTTGACTATATATATGTGGGTTTATTTCTGGGTACTGGTTTGTTTTTCACAGAATTCCTTGGGACTAAAATGTTCCCCAGAACACTTTGGTAAATATTGATGTAACAATTTTTCTCATAGGAGCACTGTTGGCATTTTGAATGGGATCGTTATGATGCTAGTTATTGCTAAGGACCTGCCCTACATGTTTCAGGAAGGTTAGCATTTCTGAACCCTGTTTAGTAAAATACAGCAGCACTCCCCAGTGATTTCAGTAATCAAACACACTCCCGTAAATTACCTAGCACTTTCAAGTCAGTGATGCCATCCAAGGTTGAGAACTATTTTGTAGCTGGTCACTAGGCACAAAGAACAGGATGATTAAGTTTGTCAATTGGGAATGTTATTCACTGCAACTCTCTGAGTCTAGATCTCCCCCATTGTCTTTGGCCTATTACATAAAGCCTTGAACTCTATTGGTATCATAGCTAGATTTGTCAAAGACTCACTCAGAGCATTACCAAAAGCTACAGAGGCCCAAAATTCTCAGAGA
This sequence comes from Homo sapiens, assembly GCF_000001405.40. Taxonomy (NCBI): domain Eukaryota; kingdom Metazoa; phylum Chordata; class Mammalia; order Primates; family Hominidae; genus Homo; species Homo sapiens. Next base: position 49,482,872 of record NC_000011.10, read on the forward strand.
GGTTCTGTCTTGTGAAAATATAAAACCTCATACCTCATGGGGACCATTGTACCAGTGATGTAGATGAGATTGCCTGGGCCAGAAAGACTTTGTGATCACATCAACTTTAGTTTTTCTTTCTCACATTTGAAATGGCCACCAAAGATATTTTTTCTTAAATCACTCATCATATTCTGTCATTCCTCTACTGAACATTCCTTTATTGGTTTTCCATTGCTAAAGATTAAGATATAAATTCTTAGTATGACATTTAAAACAACCATATCATAATAACAAGTAGCCTTCTTTACATACCTCGGCACACTCACATGCATACACCACCTCTCCATTTCTCCTTCTCTATCAATTCCAGTCACACAACCATTTTCTGACTGAATCTCATTATTTGCTAAACAAGACATATAGTTTATATCCCTAGGTTTTTGCTCTTATTACCTAGAATGGTCTTTTTCATTTGACAAACTGATGAAAATCCTACTTAATTTTTATAGCTTCTTACAATTGTTACTTCCTCTGCATAAAGTTCTCCAACATTTCTATTTATCAGTCACTTTTCTGTTCATGGCTGCAGACACTATTATACAACCTGTCATAGAAATCCACCTTAAAATCTGAAAAGTGGTGTGTATGGTGGATGAAATCTTTTTCCTTTTCCTACATTCCTATCTGGGCTCTCAGAGGAGAGCAGTTCTGTAGACTGTGTGTCCTCTGGCATCATGCTAAGAAGGCAGTTTCCATCTTCTAGGAATCTCCTTATTGCCCCTGCTCATAAGATAAAGAGTAGTTAATATAATTTGTGAAACTCAGACGTAGAGTGAGCAACATTGGAAATATACTTTACCATTCTCCTTGCTCTGACCACCTCATAGATGAGTAGGAAGATCAATGGAAAGACTCTTCTCTGTTTTCTGCTTCCATGTGGTATGAACACTTGGATCAAAGTCCTACAGTTGCTTTCTAAAGGCAGGCCAAATATCCTCAATTACCCCACCCCTCATCTCCCTCTCTGTCTCTCTTTTTACCTGTCTCTATCCCTTCATCTGTTCTGTGTTTCTCTTTGTCTCCTTTCTCTTTTCCTATCTTTGGATGGGTTTTCTGTCCGTTTCTCTCATTGTTCTCCTCTCTCCTTTTCCTGTAAGTAACTGGTAAATGTGGAAGATCTGAATTATTTGTACCTGGCAAATTCAGCTCCTTCCTTAGAGTGAGTGTTCCAGACTATAAACATGGGTGAATATATGAGGATCCTGTTTGATGTCTATCTAAACCTCATTCTTCAATCCACTTTTACCATGAACACTGTGTGCTTTGGGGTTAGTAGGCATATGCTTTGCTGATTAAAAGGTTTTCACTTTGTTTTCATTTTCTTGTTTCTAGTTTTCCCATCAAATAGAACCAGTAGGACACCCTGCCTCCTACCTGATCTCCAGCATATTGGTGTGTTGGAGGGAGGTGGTTGCAGAGTATTGGGAAAAAGGACGGTAGCAGCCATTTTGTGGTTATATTGATTCAGATTCTCTAAAAATGCAGAATAAATGAGAAAGTTTGAGTCTTTCAGAGGGCAAGTATTACAAAGGAAACCAGATTCCATTTAATTAAGACTCTTTTTGGATTAGAGCAAAAAAATTAAATATTGATGGGAGAAATACACCGTGGGGAGGAATGCAGCCTCAGTAAGACTTGGTGTCTAGATGTGACATATTTGCAAATGTTTAAGTTTTGAAAGAATGTAAGTGCATTTCAGATTCTTTACATGCCTTTGTTTTTTTCTAATTCCCATTTTTCCAAAATACCATCCAGATGTCTTTGCTATGGTTTTTTTAAAATGATGATCTAAACTCTTTTAAGTCCTAGTTTCTGAAACAAAATCCTGCTTAGCATAATTTTTTAAAGTACTATAATTATTTTTGCATTTTTACAGAGAAAAAGCATGTGTAGTTGAAGAGATAATTTGTGATATCCATCTAAAGATGCTGAAGGAGTCAGAATTGTGCAGAGAAACTCAGATACTATTTGAGAGAAATTCTTTGGGTGGAGACTGAGCATACTAAGATATTAAATAGTTAAAAACTTCTGATTTGAATGTCTTTTGACTATAAAGAGTCAGTAATTTAATTTTTTCAGACTTAAATTTTCTTATTGAGAGGTTTGATTTTTTTCCCTAATGTACTTTTTATATTGCAAAAGTTATATTATTTTAAATACTATTTTTTTTATGGATTTGGTTCGGGGGGTGGTCTCACTTTTTTGCCCAGGCTAGTCTCTAACTCCTGGCTTCAAGCAATCCTCCCGCTTCAGCCTCTCAGTGTGCTAGAATTATAGGCATGAGCCATTGCACCTGGCCGTGGAATACTTTCATTCCACCTCATAGTGTTGGTTGTCCTATATCCTCTGACCAGACACACTGGACTACATGACAAGGAAAATTTAAGACAAAAAATAAAATAATATATAACTAAAATCCCTTTATTGTCCATTTTAGACTCGTCTTATTATAAACACTGAACCACCCATGCCTCATCCTAAGATAACACAAAGGCTTACTGGTAGTAGAGATTAGGGGACAACATGATAAAGGGAACTTCAGAACAATCATGACTTGTTGGTCTTTTCGCCAATGTATGTGTACACACACACACACACACACACACACACACACACACACACACACTCCTGGTTGACCAGAGGTGTTCTCATTGTCTGTTGGGATAAAAGAACAATATTTGAGGAATGTTGAAGGTAAACTTTTGTCTAATAGTCTCACTTTAGCTTGTCTGAAGAAATACTTAAAGAAATTTCTGTAATATCTTGCTATCCCACCTTTCCCCTTACTTTTCCTTTTAGCAATAAGAACAAATAATTGGACTGGTGAGAACTTGTCAATAGGCCGTGTTTCTCCTACTGGTGGGTGCGCTGTATTCAGAAAGTCACTGCTCATGTAAGACATAGTCTCTTGTTTGAATTATATTATATTCACTCTCCAGTGGGTACACATATTATCTTATCTTCTCCAATATACATTGCATCCATGCAGTTAACACACCATCAGAAAAAGATAGATCAATTCCCTGACCTGCCATAATGTAACCTGTCATTCCCTCTCAGAATTTCACTTGGCATTCTTGAGCTGTCCATTTTGCAGGCAATTTGGTGCATGAGCAGGTGCCTGGCGAAGTAGATGAAACTTGTGATATCAAACCGTGTTCCCCATCAGTATGCTTCAAGGTTTAGATTCAAGGAAAGAGTAAGATGGTCCATTGTAATACCAATTTAAATCCATACTCTCTAATTCATCATTCCAGAAATCCTAAATTTAGGGATAATTGAACATTTTCTTAGTAAACTTATTCTTTGATCTCTCTTTAGACTGCATTTGTGTTTATTGTCTCCATTATTTGGAAACTAGATGAGAAGATGATTGAGGACAGGCTCTTGCTATTCCGTCTGTCTGTAATGATTATGTCCCAGATATTACTCATTCTGTCCTTTATTCAAATGTCCATTATTCAGAATATCTGTATCTGACAATCCCCTCTCAATTTATATGATTATTTCTCTCTGGCTCCTTCTTTTGTTCTAATTTTTCTCATAGCACTAATCATACTACCTAAAATTATATTTTAGATTTATTTGATTATTATGTCTTCCTTTTTAAAATATGAATTTCAGGAATTCAGAATCTTGTATTTATAGCTGTATCCACAAAGCCTAGACAAAAGCATGACACATAGAAAACACCATATACATATTAACTGAATGACCAAAAAAATAACCTTTTGATTATGTATCTGTCTGATACATCATCAATACTTAATATTTTGAATTTAAGTGCAAAATGCTAATGCTCTCATTCATTTCAGGGAAATTTATTTAACAAAATTTGTGGTTTGAAAATAATTCTAATTATTGAGGTTTTTTTTTTTTTCTCCACACATCTGATATAATGGAGAGCTACTGACTCATTTAACATGTTTTAACCCATACTTTGTAATGGTGTGCTCTAAATAAGAAAACCAGATGTGGTCCCTACTCTCATAAATTTTACAGTCTAGCAAAATAGATAGCTCAAATAACTGTACTATAAAATCAACTTATGTTTTCTTAGTGTGATTCTATGTAGATTAAAAAAATTTTGATCACTCACCAAATTATACAATTGATAATATTCTTTTTAATTCAAGGACAAAAATAAATAGCAAATATTATGTTCTGCATACTTGAGAGAGATGATCCTTGTCATTTTCCTTTAAATATAGAATGATTTTCAGTCTAACTTATTTAAGTGTTATCAGAATGTTTTCTGAGGCAGAGAAGAATCATATTACTAAAATATGTTAAATCTATACATCCTTTTGTTCAAGAAACAAACATTTTCAGAGAATTACATTACCCTTATTGTTAATTATATTGAGTATGTTAACAATAATGGGACTGGAGAATTTAGTGTGATTACATGTCTATCTTTCCACCTGTTCAGTCTCACATGTGGTGGCTAGTGGCAAACCTTAGACATAGTCAAAATAAACTTTGAAAATCCCTAAGAAAGGTATATTCAAGGAGATGATTATCTTGTATCTCAACCCCAACAAAACTAGTACTTTCCAAATATTAGATGTCTCTTTTGTGAGTAATGAATGATTTAGTTAGTTTATGTTCAGGGCTGTGCAGCAGATTTAAATTTCATTATATTACCCTTGCATTATCAACGTCATTATCTGGTCTTTGAAAAATGGTCATCCCTCAAGTCTCTTTAAGTTCTACCCAGAATCAAGTTATCACCACTAGATTGTCCTATCACTTTGTATGTTTCATTTTTTTGTTCCCCTCAGACTGTCCAATTTCTACACTCAAATTTTGTTTCTGGCTTAGGCTTTTTCTTGGATAGCTTATTTAGAGTCCCTCTCTGCTTTAGGAAACTTGCCTGATACCTCACCCAATTGACTCTCATCCCTCTCTACCCCCTTGGTTTTGATATCACTCATATCTACAGTCAACAACACTTATCTTCTGATCTATCTCTCTCCCATTGCTTCTCCTGCCCTGTTTTCCAAGAAAGGGATTGGACACAAATTGTCACATTGTAATTATTTTCATAAACATTCTGAATTTGAGTCCCTATCTCGTCACTGTTGCCTCAAAGGAAGGTCATGATCAACATAGAAAAGACAACTTCTTCCTGAGATTAATCTTTAAAAGTTAAGATGGGCAATGAGTTAAACTGGGATTTAACAAGCTGGGAGCCCAATTTGAAGCGTCATGTTGCTTACCGTTAGGGAATTCAGAGTAACTGACCTGTCCAGACAGCTGGTATAGCCGAACTGCCAAGGATCCATTTGTAAAATGCACTCAGGAAATTTATGGAAAATAACTTATTCCAAGAGCAAAGAGGTAATCTGACAAGCTAAATTCATGGACAATGAGGAAGGTAGTTATAAGTATGAGAATATGAGCTGCTCAGATTCCTCAAAGGCAGCATAAATAACTTAAGATATGTGTAGGTCTAAAGATATATTAAATATGCTTGTCCTAAAACGTCTTTGGCCATTGCATCATTGTCCTTGGCTTTCTCTCCTCTCCTTCTGTTTAATTTTCCTCTAATCCTATCTTTCTGTTCAGTTCTAATGTATGCAGTTTAACTGTCTTTTTTGACGTCTTGTCACTTACTGTCTACCGATGCCTTCAATGTCTCACCATACATGCCAAGTGACTTTTGAAAATGATTTCCTAAACACAAGTATAATTAATTCCTTAAGAGGAAATATGTTGTGAGCTGTTAAGATCATAACACTTTTTTAGCCTGATGAATAACCCTCTCAAGTTTTTACCCTATGTATTCTCTACAATACCAGACATGCTGAACAGTCAAGGCAGAGACCTCATCATTATCACTCCAGGTTGACATGGTCTGTTGAAATGAAAGTACATATTTTATGGTGACTATGCTGTCTGTTTGCCTGAGTGAAAGGATGTCCATGGTAACAGCTATTTAAGATTATTGCTGGATGTGTATAAGTTATTTATTATAATTATTATAATTCTTCAGGGAAACATTACTTATAATTCAGCAATTCACTTTATCATTTGAATGTTTCTAGGCTTGATTAAAGGGCCAATTTTGTATAGTTATAGTATGGTATTTTCTTTATTTTGTTCACATAACTATATAAAACATGTAGCCTTATATACACATACATATGTGTATATATGTGTGTATATATGAATATATGCTCAAATGTGTGTGTGTGTGTGTGTGTGTGTGTATGTGTACTAATCTCTTTCAAGTTAGTGATACATGAGATCATCAGATCATCAGATAATCATTTTGGAAATTATAACAATTCATGCCCAAAGCAGGATCTACATAACATCTTTTGGCATAGTTCTCAACTAAAGTCTAAGTGTCATATTTATATTTGCATTTGTATTGATATTTGTAGGTAGATTGCAACATTTTTAGGTATTATATATTATACAATGTACTATATTACGTTTCTTATATGTTTACTTTATCAGATATATAATAATGTATCTGATATAAATTAATCTTCATCATAGGTCACTTTTTTAGATGTAATGCTAAATATTTTAAAGGTTTATGTTATTCTCATCAATGTTTACTTTTTATTTGTCATCTCCCTCTGTGTCTTAGCTAGTTCTTTCGGTTTTATAAGTAATTATAGAATTTTAGAGCTGGAAACCCTTACTGAACATCAAAAGACTGCAGCCACTTATCTTTGAAGCAGTCACATGTTTCTGACTTGACCACAGGCTCTGTTCACTCAGCCTGAGTTGTCTGACTGAATCATGGGGAAGGCTTTAATTCACTTTTCTGCCCTACTACCCTCCAAAGACTGTTACCTCCTCTATATTCTGGAGATGGAAAACAGAAAGAAAATAAAATAAATGGAATACAAATTCTTATTTGTGTAAATTGTGATGCCAAGCACTCATATTTTCTCAACCAAGTTGCCTTTGCTTTGACGACTTTTAGCAGCTATTTCCTAGTGACAGCTCAAAATTTCTGTATAGCTTGATTTTGGGAGCAGCAGTCTGGTGGAAGGGTCAGTGAAGGCAGTTTTAAATCTGGATGTGCCTAGAAGGCACTCTCTTTTTATTTAGGTTATATAATACAAATAAAAATAGCAAGTACACCTTCTAAAATGCTTCTTTTTGGTTTTATGTAAAATTTTAAAAATGTCAATGTGTTTATGAAATAGTACTACTTTATGAAATGATATTTGATTTCACCTTGGGATTTTATGTAGATTATTTAGGGGCAGTGCTAAACCTCCCCACAGACTATTTCTAGGCCTTATCAATGACCAAGCAACTTAGTTTATTTGAAAATAGTTTGTTTTATGTACAACAAATATTATATATATATATATATATATATGCTGTTTTTAACAAATACATGTTTTAACATGTATATGCTGTTTTTAAGTGGTATTTTTAAATCATTATGTACATATATACTGTTTTTTGATGACTTTTTTTTTTTTGCAGTACCAACTATCAAGGCTTGAAAGCTAAGGGTTTTCAAGATTAACATTATTTTTAAGTAACATTTTGTTAATGGGAAAGTCATTCATCCATTATACCAATGATTCTTTTATTTTCCTCCCTCCCTCCCTTCCTTCCTTCTTTTGTTCTTTTCTTTCTTTTTGATTGAGAAATAATAGTTGTGTACATTTATGAAGTACAACGTGATGTTTTGATCTATGTATATGTCGTAGATAAGATTCAATAAAGCTAATTAACTTACCTATCAGCTCACTAACAGCATCATTTATTTGGGGTGAGAATGTTAGAAATCTAGTTCTTTAACAATTTAAAATTTACAATACATAATTACTAACTGCAGTCACTGTGCAGTACAATAGATCACTAAAAGTTATTCCTCTAGTCTAACTACAACTTTGTATCCTTTTATCAGCATCTCCACTTTCCCTATCCCTTGGCCTCCCCTAACCCCTCCTCAGTCTCTGTTTTTATGATACCAACTTTTTTAGATTCTACGTATATGGGAGACTATAAGCAGTTATCTTTCTCTGCCTGCCTTATTTCTCTTAACATAATGTCCTCCAGTTTCATACATGTTGTTACAAATGACAGCATTTCATTCTCTTCTAAGATTTATTATATTCCATTGTGTGTATACCATATTTTCTTTATCCTTTCAATTGTTGATGGACACTTATGTTACTCTCAAATCTTGGCTATTTTAAATAATGCTGAAATGAAAATGGAAGTGCAAATATCTTTTTACCATACTGATTTCAATCTCCTTGGAAACATACTCAGACATGGGATTGCTGGATCATATGGTAATTATATTTTTAGTTTTTTGAGGAACCTACATGTATTCTCCAAAATGATTGTACTGATTTACATTTCCACCAACAGTGTACAAGAGTTCCTTTTCTCCACATTCTCATCAACACTTACATATCTTTTTTATAGCCATTCTAGCAGCTATGAGGTGATATCTCATTTTGGTTTTAACTTGCATTTCCAAAATAGAGATGTTGAGCATTTTTTCATGAATCTGTTGGCCATTCGTATGTCCTCTTTTGATAAATGTATATTCAGATCCTTTGCCCATTATTAATAGTTTTTTTTTTCAATTGAGTTGAGTTCTTTATGCATTTTGGATATTAGCTCCTTATCAGATATGTGGTCTGAAAATATTTTCTTCCAATCCATTGGTTGTCTCTTCACTCTGTTGTTTACTCCGCTATGCAGAAACACTTTAGTTTGATACAATCACATTTGTCTATTTTTGCTTTAGTTGCTTGTATTTTTATGTTGTATCTATGAAATCAGTGCCAAAACCAATGTCATGAAGATTTTCTCCACGTTTACTTCTAGTAGCTTTGTAATTTCAGATCTTATGTTTAAGCATTTTTTAAATTTTTTTTCCATAAGTTACTGGGGAACAGGTGGTATTTGGTTACATTAGTAAGTTCTTTAGTGGTGATTTGTGAGATTTTGGTGCACCCATCACCTGAGCGGTATACACTGCACCATATTTGTAGTTTTTTATCCCTCCCCACCTCCCACCACTCCCCCCAAGTCCACAAATCCGTTGGATCACTTTATGCCTTTGTATCCTCATAGCTTAGCTCCCACATATTGGTGAGAATATATGGTGTTTGGTTTTCCATTCCTGAGTTACTTCACTTAGAATAATAGTCTCCAGTCTCATCCAGATTGCTGCAAATGCCGTTAAGTCATTCCTCTTTATGGCTGAGTAGTATTCCATGGTATAAATATACTACGGTGTCTTTATTTACTCGTTGATTGATGGGCATTTGGGTTGGTTCCATGATTTTGCAGTCGTGAATTGTGCTGCTATAAATGTGTGTGCAAGTATCTTTTTCATATAATGACTTTTTTTCCTCTGGTAGTTACCCAGAAGTGAGACTGCTGGATCAAATTTAAAATCCATTTTAAGTTTATTTTTGCATATGGTGTAATAGGAGGGCCCAATTTCATTTTTTCTGTATGTGGATATCCAGTTATCCCAACATAATTTATTGAAAAGACTGTCCTTTCTCCCCTGTGTGTTCTTGACATCTTTGTCAAACATCACTTGGCTATAAATACTTGAGCTTATTTCCATGCTCTCTATCCTGCTTCATTGGTTGATGTCTCTACTTTTATGGCAGTACCATATGTTTTGGTTATAATATATTACAATGTCTTAAAATAGCTTTATAATATATTTTGAAAAAAGTGTGATGCGTACAGCTTTGCTCCTTTTGTTCAAAACTGCTTTGGCTTTTCGTGGTTTTTCTGGTTCCATACAAATTGTAGGATTTTTTTCTTTATTTCTGTGAAAAATGACATTGGAATTTTATTAGGAATTTCATTGACTCTGTAGATAGCTTAGTTTGCGTGGACATTTTAAGACTTTCTCCACTTTTATTCAACATAATACTAAAAGCTCTAGCCAGAATATTAGGGAAGAAAAAAATAAAAATAATTCATTCAGGAAGGGAAGAAGTAAAATTGTCTCTGTTTCCTGATGACATGACCTGATATATAGAAAATTTTCAAGACTCCACCAAAAAACTGTTAGAACTAATACATTTAAGTAAAGTTGCAGGTTACAAAATCAATATACAGAAATCAGTAGCATTTCTATAAACTAACAACAAGCTGTCTGAAAAGGAAATTTTTAAAAATTTGATTTACAATAGCATCAGAAAATGAAATAGAAAATTTAACCAAGGAGGTGAAGATTTATACACTGATAACTATAAAATATTGATAAAAGAAAGTGAAGAAGATACAAGTAAATGCAAAATATCCTATGTTCATGAATTAAAATAATTAATATTGTTAAAATGTCCATAGTACCCAAAGCAATTTACAGATTCATTAAAGCAATGACTTCTAACCTCAGATTCAAATGCACATGAATGGACTTCAGCAAGGAGAAGAATACCCAAAAATTTAAATAAAATTCACGTGGATACACACTTTATTGTAGAAAAGGCCTATAATTCATAGAGGCATACTGGATTATACTAGTACATATGAACTACATATGCTTAACCAAAATCCCCAATTCTGAAATCTTACTATGATAGCAATTTATTTCTTCCTCACATAAAATTTAACGGTAATATGTAGCCTTACTTTCTGAAGTGGTCTCAGGTTCAGTTTTCTAAAATTTTTTTCCCACCATCTTATGATATTTATTGCTAGGTGGCACATAAAAAGATCAGCATTTCAGCCAACATAGAGATGCCATTCCTTTAAAGGCAAGTCTGAAAATTGTACCATGCTTTCAGTGAACTCCTCATTAATTAGAACTTAGAAATAAAATCCTCATTCTGGGTGGCCATGTGTTGAGGATAAAGGATTCTATTACAGTAGAGGAAGTAACTAATAGATATTAGGGACAACGAGCACTTTCTGGCACAAATATACATTGTAAAGTGCTTAGAGCAATACCTGGTAGATAATAAGTACATACTAAATTTTAGCTATTTTAACCGTGGATCTATGGTGTAAAAACTGGAAAAATCTGGTAGTAGCAGAGAAGCCAAGGTAATATGACTTATAAATTAATTGCCTCATGTAATATTGTCTTAGTTGTTTTATATGTAATTTGTTTATATTTTGAGTGGATTAAAATAAGCAAATCTAATAGATTTAAATTTATGCATATTTTTCCCTCAGTGCTTGGTATACAATAATAGAATTGTTTACATAATTCCTGTGAGATAACTTTGATTTGTGATCATCGAAACAGCATTTTATCTGGTATGAGACTTTAGCCTTAGGTATTATTTCCCTACATAGGAACATATATTCTAGATTTGAACTAAAAGAACAATTGTTCTGTAGTGATTATCTTGTGCCACTCACACCCCACATTGTTCTATTCAATGCAAGCAAAAGAGTTCTGAATATTAAAAAGAAATCTCAATGCCAAGTGAAATATATTTTCGTATAACTGAAAGCACAAGTCTGGGATACAATATGTCGATATTTCTAAGCTGTCATAAGAGTGTATATTATTACACAGATATTATTATTGATGTTAACTATTTCTACATGACAAATTTGGTAGCCAGCCATCCAATCAAGACTATGGAGCATCTTTGATTTTGAACTTTGTAAAACCTATTTATAAACTCCATAGGAAACTAGATCCATTATTTTATACACCTGCAGCATGCCTAGAACAAAGCAGCATTACTATTTTCCTCATTGGGAATATTGAGACTTAAATATCATTTATTTTTTCCATCAAGATGGAAGGCAAGGTGTTATAGTAAACATGACATATTAATTTAATATTTTTTATCAAGAGGATTCAAATATTAGACTGGGAATTAGAATATGTGAGTTTTATTGCTCCCTTTTACTTGAAGAGGTAATTTATATGTTTTTTTAAACTAATTTGTAAGGGTTGGTTTCTAATTCTAATTCTATTTATAACTGTGTGGTCATGGAAGGGTGATCCAGATTTCCAATTCTATAATGTCAAATAATCCAGTTCTAAAAATATCTAAGATTTATAACCACACTTAATCTTTGTTGGTATTACTATGAAGGAAAGATTTTTTTTTTAAGAAAAGGTATTGACCAAGACTTTTGCATTACAGTTGTAAGTTATAGGAAAACAATTCAAAATAAATTATTATTAATTTATTTGAAATAAATAAATTATTAAAATTGGGAGAAGTTTCTTGGAAGGCAACAAAAGCATCTATCTTGAAGACATTTCATGACCAGATGAATCATAGTGCTAGGTGCAGGAGACAACATGATCAGTCAGTCTTGGGCATATGTCCACTCTTGTGCTTGCAGTCCAAGGGGAAGCAGAAAATAAGAGAGACAGATGCCAACAGTAAAACTAAAATTAGTTTCTAAAATGCTTTTGATCAACAACTGCATCACTGGTGTGAGTTATCTCCTCTTACAAGGGTAAACTGTGTGAACATTTGCAAATAGAAATACTTATGATATATTACAAATACATTAAGATTTTATATAGTATTTGTGAATTTATGTGTTTTTATAAGTCTAGATAATTGTCCAAATAAAAACTCACACATTCATTTGCTAGGGCTGCCATAACAAAATTCTAAAAATTGAGTGGCTTAAAACAACAGAAATTTATCTTGTGGTCCTGGTGGTAGAAGTCTGAAACCAAGATGTTGGTGTGGTTGGCTCTTTCTGAGGCCTGTGAGGAAAGGCTCTGTTCAAGGCCTTTCTCCTTAGCTTGTTATGGCTGCCTTCATACTCACATGTCATTCTCCCTATACACATTTCTGTGTCAAAATTTCCCTTTTTTTATAAGGACATCAATTATTTTGGATTAGGGTTCACTCAAATAATCTCATTTTAACATGATTACCTCCATAAAGACCTTATCTCCAAATAAAGTCATAATTTGAGGCACTGCAATTTAGTTCAACATATTAATTTGGGGGGGAACAATTCTACTCATAACAATTGGAATGAGACCATAGAACCACGGGCTTAATGGATTTGATCTATTCTAGTAGTAGCCTTTTTACTCCTGGTGCCATTTCTTCCATCACTGACATATAATGTCATTGTTGTTAGAAGAACGCCCCTGCCCACCCCCTCCCCCAACACACATATAGTGAGGATGTCCACATTGTCCACTACTCCAGTAGCTCCTCTACTAGTCAGGCAGGACTTACTCAGGTTATAGAAGGTGGGGCCAAAAAAAAAAGTCTTCCCCAAAGTGTCATGCTTGGTGGCCATATGGACAGTTAGCATTAGTGGCCATATGGACAGTTTGGTCTATCAAACTGATTGTCCCTGAGCAACTCATGCTGGTGCATATCCCTCCACAGTCGGTGGCAACTCTTATTTGGAAAATGTCCAGAGGTACCCTCCCTGTGGTTTCCAAAATCACTGTTGTTTTTTTTGGCATTATATGCTGAATGACTATTTCCATATCAGCCCCTCAAGACCAAAGTAATGAGAAACAGAGATTTTCAGCCTTTTCCACACATTTTTTTGGATACTTCTTTCTCCACGACCACGCAGCTCTGAAAGTCAGCCTGATTCACCTGCCCAGACTATTCCAAGTGAGTATCCCTTGGATGACCTTGATTTACTTTCTGCCAGCATTCTTCAGCCTGGTTGACTTCAAGCCGTGAGATCAGAGAGATTTTACTGAAACTGAGTCTCAAAAAGAGAAAGGTTGAACATAAATATATATACCTACAATATACCTGCAAAAACCAAGTATAAAACAAATTAAAGAAAGGTTGGAATCTAGGACCTGTATTTTTCTCTGAGGCTACTTGGTTTCTATGTAGATATTTTGACCCACTCATCAAAGATATGAAGTAAATAGACATTATCAATTAACCACCACCACTTACCAAATATAATATATTCCACACTTTTTTGCTAGAGTGCCAAGGACCATCTTTCCTTATATGACCTTAGCTAGATAGAAACAATCAAGAGATTTTTCCTAGAGCAATAAGATGAAAAGGCCCACTCCATCAAAATATAATTTAAAAAATATTTATAGAGATGGCTTTCATACAAGTATATATTGAACACATTTCAAAATGTATTTAATCCTCTGAGGTAGCCAGCAAGATGGTAAAGTAGGTTCAAAAAACATTCGTACAGATTTTTGCAATCAGCCAGAAAAGAAATGTATAAATACATTTGTCAAGTTAAAACACAAAACTGGCTAATATCCTACATGCCAATTATACTATAGCCTTTGGGGTTATCTTTTCTACTATACAAAAATAACCTTCATTTTTTCTAAAAAAAATTGCAAGTTCAGAATTTTTTTTAGTTTAATGAATTCACAATATTCATAGAATCTATGAGTAGGGTCCTAATCAATAGCACGAGAAATTTACTTATGAGTTAATTCACCTTAAAAACAAGATAACCTTTAATTATGTGTTTTATTTAGCAAACCATTTTCACATTACTTTTTTTAGTGGCTACATAACTTTGCATTTTTTAAATACTCTTGGAAAATTTGGATAGGTCTATTAGTGCTTGAGTGTGGCACAGAAAAACATAAAATCATCTTTTTGTGTTGTTTCCATATTTTAGATATTTTTTTTCTTAACTACTCTAAAGTTGTATAATGCCTGTCATAGCTTCATGAGAAAAATCAATCTTTAAAATTGTTTTCTCATAAAAAATTAAAATTGTTTCATCACCTGGCATTCAGCTATATGTTAACTATTACAAGCAATTAAGGTCTTACAATTTATTATCCACTTGTATGACCACCTTTACTTTTAGCAACATAGTGGACTACAAAAAAATAACAAATAAAAAGAGGAAAAGTGACATCGAGATGACACAGTAGAAGGCAATGTGCTCAAATTCCCCAACAACAAGAATTCTGTAGCCATCCACAGGTAAAAGTCTCTCTGTAGTAGCCTTGGTATTTAGGTAGGAGTTTTGTGAAACCCTGGTAAAGCACAGGACCCAGGAAGACTGTTTTGAGAATGCAGAACAGCAACCAGGTTGCGGATCCACTGATGATGTTCTCAGGTTCAAACCCAGAATCAGTTCCATTCCCCAAAGGCTTTGGCTACAGCACCATTTGGCCTTGAGCCTACAACTAAAACCATTTGCCAAGGGAGCCAAAAGGAATCACGAACACCAGTGTCTCAGCAAGAAAAGATAATTTTCCTGCTGACATTGATCTCTGCAATGGACCTGAAACTTGTCCTGTGGCTCAATTCCAGTCCAGCCCAGTTGAAGTTCCAGCTTAGAACTGCTCACACAAGGACCGCAGAGAGACTTGCCCATATGTTGCACACAGAATCTGAGCCTCCATAAGGGGCTTACCAGCCTTCATCCCATAGCAGATCTTGAGCAAGCCCAGTCTCACCTCTGGGACCTCTTGTTGCAATCAGAAAACTATCCCATCTGTGCAGGGACCCACAAGGATATGTGCATCCAGCAGAACTAATGAAACAGGCTCACCAGCCTCTGTCTCACATCATATCCTGAGGGGGCCCTATTTTGGCTCCAGCTCCTCGCACTATAGTCCATGAACTACTCTGCCTGTGCAGGATCCTGCTGGGAAACACATGCCTGCCTTACTCAGTGAGATGGGCTTGACAGCCACCATCCTACAGGAGGGCCAAAAAGCCCCTTTATCAGCTCCATTTTCTCCTGCTGCAGTCAGAGGCCTATCTTACCTGTGCCAAGACCTCCTGAGAGACACACACCCATCTGAACCAAGGAGATGTACTCCCAACCTCCATTTCACAACAGATCACCAGGAGGCCCAGCTCACCTCCAGCCACACATGCTGTAGTCAGGAACCTCTCCTGCCTGTTTAAGGTGCTGCTGAGATACATGCACCCATCTGAGCCAAAGAGAAAGGCTCACAGTTAGCCATCCCACAGCAGATCCCAAAGGGGCCCTGTCTCAGCTCTGACCCTTTGTGCTGCAGTTGGAGACCACTCTCACTGGTGGAGAGACATGCTAGGAGATACATACCTATCTGATCCAAGGAGATGAGTGTACCAGCCTCTACCCGACAGCAGATTCTGAATGGGCCCTCATTCAGTTCCAAGCCCTTTCACTGCAGCTAGTGAACTATCCCACTTCTGCAGGGAGCTTCAGTGAGATGTATGCCTGGCAGAGCCAATGAAACAAGTCACCAGCCTCTGTCTCATAGCAGATCCTGAGGGGGCCCAATCCCTGCTCCAACCTGTTTCACTGCCACTGAGGGACCATTCTGCCTCTAAAGAGTAGTGCTTGGGGGGTGTACCTGTGTGGGCCACTGGGAAAATCTCTGGCTCAAGTTTCTGGCCAGCTTTCCCACAAAGCTGAGGTACCCCCACCTTGAGTTTTCCCCAGATCCATTTGGGCCAGAAAAATCATGCTGACCACAGAGCCTTTGCAAGACTTGTGGCAAACCTGTGCTTAGAGCACCAGAGCACCCTCTAGGGTTTAGACGGCTGCAGTGGTGACAGGCTCTGGCAACACAACGAACTGGTTAAAACCTCTAGAAGGCCCAATGAGAAGAATGAGCACAGGCAAAACCAGATTTTGAAGTTTGGAATAAATACATAATCCCTCGAGGTGCATGCAATATCACACATCCACAAGAATCAACATTAAAAGAAGTATGATGTCACTAAAGCATCAAAACAAAGCACCAGAGACTGACCCTGAATTATTGAAGATGTGTGATCTCTTAGAAAATAAAATCGAAGTAGCTGTTTTAAGGAAACTCAATAAAATTCAAGAAAACACAAAGAAATAGTCCAGAAACTCATCAGAGAAATTCAGTAGAGATAATAATAAAAAATAGGATATTGGAGCTGAAAAAAGACAATGAGCAAAATGAAAAATACAATAGAAACAATCAACTGTAGAGTCAAAAAAAAAAACAGAAGAAAGAATCATTTAACTTGAACATAAGCTATTTGAAAATACATATATATTGTAATCAGACTCTCAAAGGTCAAAGACAAAGAGAGGATTCTGATAGATGTGAAAGAAAAGAGGCAAACATGTAAGAGTGTTCAAATACCCTTGGCAACAGACTTCTCAGCAGAAACCTTGCAGGCCAGGAGGGAGTGGGAACATATAGTTAGGGTGCTGAAACAAAGAAACAGAAAACACTGTCAGCCACTAGTACAGCACCGGGGAAAGCTGTCTTCAGAAATAAAGTAGCAATAAATACCTTCCACTCAAACAAACTAAAGGAATTTATTACTATCAGACCCGTCCTACAAGTAATGCAAAAAAAAAAAAAAAAAAAAAAGGGTTGGGGGAGTTCTCTAAACTGAAAAAAAGGATGCTATCATGTAATAAGAAAACCTGAAGGTATAAAAGTATACCTGAAGACATAAAAGCCATTGGTAAAATAAGATATATGGACAAAATATATTTACTTTAATACTTTACTACTGTAATCATTGTGTGTAAAGCATATCTTTAGTATAAAGACTAAATACAAAACTACTAAAGTATTTATATTAATTTGTTATGAAATAAATAATATAAGAAAATATAAAATGTAATACCAAAAATTTTAAAGGACAAAATGAAGTTCAATATGCATTTTTTTGTTATTTGCTTTTCTTTGCATTCAAAGTTAAGTTGTTATCAGTTTAAAATAACTTGCTATGATAATAGAATACTTTTTGTAAACCTGATGATAACCATAAAACAAACACCTATAAAAGACACTAAAAATAAAAAGGGAGGAATTGAAACATACCATGTGAGAAAAAAACACTTACGCACAAGGAAAGACAATAAGAGAGAAAGGAAGAAAGGGTTTACAAAAGTACTAGAAGACAAGCAACAAAATGGCTGTAGTGAGTTCTTACCCATCAGTAGTTACCTTGAATAGAAATAGATTAAATTCTCCAATTAGAGGGCACAGAACAGCTAAACTGATTTTTTAAAAATTATATGCTGTCTACAAAAAACTCACTTCATCTTTTAACACTCTGTTAAAAACATTGAGACTAAAAGTGAAGAGATGGAATAAGATATTCCATGCAAACAGAAACCAAAAGAAGGCAGAAGTAGCTATACTTATATCAGGTAAAATAGACTTTAAGTCAAAAACTGGAAAAAGAGACAAAGAAGGTCCTTATGTAATGATGAAGGGGACATTACAGGGAAAGGATTTAGCAATTATAAATATGTATGCAGTCCATATGAGAACACTTAAATATATACGGAAAATATTAATAGATCTAATGACAGAGTTAGACCACAATAAATAGGGGATTTTAACACCCCATTTTTAGCAATAGATCATTCAGAAAAAATGTCTACAAAGAAAGATTAGTGTTAAACTACATTCTAAACACAATAGAACTAATAGACATTTAAAGAACATTCCATCCAACAGCCTCAGAATGCACATTACTCTCAACAGCACATGGAACATTCTGCAGAATAGACCATGTTAGACCACAAAACAAGTCATAAGGAAGTTTAAAAAATCAAGTTGTATTAAGTACCCTCTCTGACCCCAGTGGACTAAAGTTAGAAATTAATAACAGGAGGAACTTTAGAATCTATACAATACATGGAAATAAACAACATGCTCTGCAATAACCAATAGCTCAATGAATAAATTAAGAAAATTAACAAAAATATTTTGAGACAAATAAAAAGGGAAACACAAAATAACGAAACCTATGGGATATAGCAAAATCTCTAAATGTATAAATGACTAAAAATGTACAATGATATGGTTTGTGTCCCCACCCGAATCTCATCTTCAATTCCCACATGTTGTGGGAGGGACCAAGTGCGAGGTAATTGAATCATGGGGGCAGGTCTTTCCTGTGCTGTTCTTGTGAAAGTGAGTAAGTCTCACAAGATCTGATGGTTGCTGTAACAGGGAGTTTTCCAGCACAAGCTCTCTTCGCCTTATCCACGTAAGATGTGACTTGCTCCTCCTTGCGTTCTGCCATGATTGTGAGGTTTCCCCAGCCACGTGGAACTGTGAGTTCTCCACTAAACCTCTTTCCTTTGCAAAGTGCCCAGTCTTTGGTGTGTCTTTATCAGCAGCATGAAAATGGACTAATACAATCAATGAAGCAACAAGTGTGTTGTTTGAAAAGATAAACAAAATAAATTTACCAGCCTTCTGCTAAACTAAGGAAAAAAGAGAGAAGACCCAAATAAATAAAATCAGGAATGACAAAGGAGTCATTATAAATTATACCATGGAAATATACAGAATCATGAGGGACTACTATGAATATATATCAACAAATTGGAAAACCTGAATGAAGAAGGCAAATTCCTGGACACAAACAACTTACTAAGATTGTTATGAGGAATTGAATACCTGAACAAACCAATAAAGAGTGCCAAGATTGAATCAGTATTAGAAAAGTCTCCAATCAAAGGAAAGCTCAAGACCTAATTAATGGTTTCCTGCTGCATTCCACCACACACCTAAAGAAGAACTAATACCAATTCTTCTCAAACTATTCCAAAAAACTGAAGGAGAGGGAATTATTCGAAATTAATTCTAAGAGCCTAGCATTGTCCTGATATCCAAACCAGAAAAGAACACAACACAAAAAGAAAACTATAGGCCAATATCACAATCCTCAACAAAATACCAGCAAACCAAATCTCACAGCATATCAAAAAGATTACTCCCCTCGTAAAGTGGGATTCATCCCAGGGATGCAAAGATGGTTCAACAAATGCAAGTTAATAACTGTAATACATCATATTTACAGAACGAAGGACAAAAATCATATGACTAATAGAAAAGGCATTTGATAACATTAAACATCCATTTTGTGATAAACGCTCTCAACAAATTATGTATAGAAGGAACATACCTCAGCATAATAAAGCACATATATGACAAATCCACAGCTAATATTATATAAGAACAGGGAAAAGTTGAAAGCTTTTCCTGTCAAATCTGAAACAAGAAAATGTTGCCTACTTTCACCACATTTATTTAACAGAATAATGGAAAGCCCAGCCAGACTGTTAAGCAAGAGAAATAAATAAAGGACATCCAAATTGGAAAGGAGGAAATCAAATTATCCCTGTTTGCAGATGACATAATTTTATATAGAGAAAAAGCTAAAGACTACACCAAAAAACTGTTAGAATGAGTAAACAAATTTAGTAATGCAGAAGGATATAAAACCAACATATAAATCTCAGTAGCTTTTCTGTATGCTAATAGTGAACAATCTGACAAAAAAATATAGCAATCCCATTACAATAGATATCAACAAAAATAAAACGTATATAAAAATTTAATCAAGGAAGGAAAAGATCTCTATGATGGAAAGCTACAAAGTATTGATGAAAGAAGTTTAGGACACAAATACATGAAAAAGATACCATGTTCATGAATTGGAAGAATTAATGTAGCTAAACTGTCCATAATTTCCAAAGCAATCTACAGTCACAAAACACCCAAGACATTCTTCACAGACACATAAAAAATCCTAAAATTTGTATGAAACAAAAATAACTGTGAATAGCATAAGCAATTTTGAGAAAAAGGAACAAATCTGTAAGCATCACATGATCTGACTTCAAAATATAGTACAAAGCTATAGTAACCAAAACAGCATGATACCAGCATAAAGAGAGCAGCATAGAGAACCCAGACAATCCAAGGATTTACAGCCAATTGATTTTTGACAAGAACAAGGATGGGAAAAGGACAGTCTCTCCAATAAACAGTGCTGAGGAAACTATATATCCACACACAGAAGGATGAAACTAGATACCTATTACTCTGTACTTACAAAAATCAACTCAGAAAGGAATAGACTTAAATGTAAGATCCTAAAGTATGAAACTCTTAAAAGAAAAAATATACAGAAAACATTTATTTTGTGATATTGGTCTAGGCAAGTTTTTTTGATAAAACCTCAAAAGCACAGGCAACAAAATAAAAACAGACAAATGGAATAATATCAAATTAAAAACCTCTGCACAGAAAAGGAAAAAAATAGAGTGAAGAAATAATCTACATTATCTACATAATGCGATAAAATATGCTCAAACTATAAATCTGAAAAGGGTTAATATCTAGAATATATAAGGAACTCAAACATTTAAATAGCAAAAAAATCAAATAATGACTTAAAAAAGGCCAAAACATATGGATAGACATTTCACAAAAGAAGACACGCAAATGGCCTACAAGTATATTAAAAAACGCTCAACATTAATACTAATTAGGGAAATCTAAATCAAAGCCACTATGAGATATAATCTCAGTCCAGTTAGAATGATTGTTATTAAAATGACAAAAAAAAAAATGACATGAATGTGGAGAAAGGGGAACTCTAGTATACTTTTGTGGGAATGTAAATTCATACAGCCATTATGAAAAATAGTATGGAGGTTTGCCCCCAAATTAAAAATGGAACTAACATTTGATCTTGCAATCCCACTACTGGGCGTATAGCCAAAAGAAATGAAATTGGTTTGTCAAAGAGATATCTGCTCATCTATACTCATTGCAACAGTATTAACAAGAGCCAAAATATGAAATCAACCCGTGTCCATAAATGAATGAAAGGATAAATAAAATATGGTATATTTACACAATGAAATACTATTTAGCCATAAAAATAATGAAATGCTGCCATTTGCAGCAACATGGATGAGCCTGGAAGACATTATGTTAAATGAAATAAACTAGGCACAGAAAAACAAATACCTCATTATCTCACTCATATGTGAAATCTAAAAAAGTAGAGAGTTGAATAATGGTGACCAGAGGCTGGAAAAGTAAAGGATATGGAAGGATAAGGAGAGGTTGGTTAATGGGTATAAAGTTACAGTTATGAAGGAGGAATAAGTTCTAGTGTTGCATTACACATTAGGGTGACTATAGTTAACAATAAAACATTATATATTTCAAAATAGCTACAAAAGGATTTTGAATGTTCTCACTAAAAAGAAATGATAAATGTCTGAGTTGATGTGTAATTAGCACATTTTTATGGGGTACAGTGTGATGTTTTAGTACATGTGTACATTGCACAGCATCAGCAATATGCAATGTATGCATGTATTAAAACATACTGTACCCCACAAAATGTACAAGTATTATGTGTAAATTTAAAATAAATACAATTTTTTTCAAGAGAAAAAACTTTATTTCTCCTAAAGTATGTGCTGAACACAAAAATATACCTATTTATCATGGTAGGAGTTTTATACAACAAGTTGGCAAGGTTGTTATTTAATGCCACCACTAATTCACTAAAGTATTAAGTAATTGGTCCTAATCACTAGACCTGTAGGTGATGGAACAGGACCATTAGCCCTGCTATCTAGGCTCCTAAGTCCACAATCTTTTCCCAATACCATCTCAAAAATACCTTCTTGACAATTCTCAGGGGAGTTTATTAGAAGAGTTAACTTTAATGAGGTAATTATCAGGAGTTTGGTCAAAAAGCTCTAATAGGATGAAAGTAAGTCTGTTTGAAATGACTAAAGGAGCATGAAAGAATGCCAACTATTCTCATTCCATGTAATGGAAAAGCATTGTCAGCTTCTTTTGTGTTTTAAACTGCACAATAGATATGACAAATTTGAAAAACAAAGGAAAGAAGGAGATGCCCTGAGGGTAAGAGTTAGAGTCATTGCAACTGGTTTGAACAGATGATTGAAATTAAAAAAAAAAAAAGCTGGGAAAAGAGTGTTAATGAAAGAAGTACAGCATAAAGATGCAGGATAAATCTGGAGTCCTTGATTATAATCATACTCTACCACCAAATCTGTACGGCCTTAGCAGATTAATGTGCTTCTGTAAGCTCCAATTCCTTATTGTGTAAGTTTAAATTGTTGAGCTAGATGGTCTCTAAGGCCCATTATAGCTTTAATGTACTATGAACTCCTTTAGGAGTCAATAATACAGGACTAACACGTTTAGGAGTCAATAATAGAGGACTAACAATAAATACACAGTAACATCATTTTCTTGCTTAAAAATTTTCAGTCAGTCTCTATTGTATAGCACTGTCATTTAGAATTTGCTTAATTTCTCTGAGTTGTAATTTTCTTCAATTTTGTGAATATTTAAGATGTTTATAAAAGTATATCACAATATTCAGGAAATGGTAAGCATTCAATAAACATTGTCTGTCACCATTTTTTGCCTTATATATCATACTGAAGAAACACAAACTGCTTATGGTTATCTTCTGTCCTATATATATATATATATTTTTTTTTTTTTAATTGTACTTTAAGTTTTAGGGTACATGTGCACAACGTGCAGGTTTGTTACATATGTATACATGTGCCATGTTGGTGTGCTGCACCCATTAACTTGTCATTTACATTAGGTGTATCTCCTAATGCTATCCCTACCCCCTCCCCCCACCCCACAACAGGCCCCGGTGTGTGATGTTCCCCTCCCTGTGTCCAAGTGTTCTCAATGTTCAGTTTCCACCTATGAGTGAGAACACGTGGTGTTTGGTTTTTTTGTCCTTGAGATAGTTTGCTGAGAATGATGGTTTCCAGCTTCATCCATGTCCCTACAAAGGACATGAACTCACCGTTTTATATGGCTGCATAGTATTCCATGGTGTATATGTGCAACATTTTCTTAATCCAGTCTATCATTGTTGGACATTTGGGTTGGTTCCAAGTCTTTGCTATTGTGAGTAGTGCCACAATAAACATATGTGTGCATGTGTCTTTATAGCAGCATGATTTATATTCCTTTGGGTATATACTAAGTAATGGGATGGCTGGGTCAAATGGTATTTCTAGTTCTAGATCCCTGAATAATTGCCACACTGTCTTCCACAATGGTTGAACTAGTTTACAGTCCCACCAACAGTGTAAAAGTGTTCCTATTTCTCCACATCCTCTCCAGCACCTGTTGTTTCCTGACTTTTTAATGATCACCATTCTAACCGGTGTGAGATGGTATCTCATTGTGGTTTTGATTTGCATTTCTCTGATGGCCAGTGATGGTGAGCATTTCTTCATGTGTCTTTTGGCTGCATAAATGTCTTCTTTTGAGAAGTGTCTGTTCATGTCCTTTGCCCAGTTTTTGATGCGGTTGTTTTTTTCTTGTAAATTTGTTTGAGTTCTTTGTAGATTCTGGATATTAGCCCTTTGTCAGATGAGTAGATTGCAAAAATTTTCTCCCATTCTGTAGGTTGCCTGTTCACTCTGATGGTAGTTTCTTTTGCTGTGCAGAAGCTCTTTAGTTTAATTAGATCCCATTTGCCAATTTTGGCTTTTGTTGCCATTGCTTTTGGTGTTTTAGACATGAAGTCCTTGCCCATGCCTATGTCCTGAATGGTATTGCCTAGGTTTTCTTCTAGGGTTTTTATGGTTTTAGGTCTAACATGTAAGTCTTTAATCCATCTTGAATTAATTTTTGTATAAGGTGTAAGGAAGGGATGCAGTTTCAGCTTTCTACATATGGCTAGCCAGTTTTCCCAGCACCATTTGTTAAATAGGGAATCCTTTCCCCATTTCTTGTTTTTGTCAGGTTTGTCAAAGATCAGATAGTTGTAGATGTGTGGTATCATTTCTGAGGGCTCTGTTCTGTTCCATTGGTCTATATCTCTGTTTTGGTACCAGTACCATGTTGTTTTGGTTACTGTAGCCTTTTAGTATAGTTTGAAGTCAGGTAGCATGATGCCTCCAGCTTTGTTCTTTTTCTTAGGATTGACTTGGTAATGTGGGCTCTTTTTTGTTTCCATATGAAGTTTAAAGTAGTTTTTTCCAATTCTTTGAAGAAAGAACATTCCATGCTCATGGATAGGAAGAATCAATATTGTGAAAATGGCCATACTGCCCAAGGTAATTTATAGATTCAGTGCCATCCCCATCAAGCTACCAATGACTTTCTTCTGTTCCTCCTTATGCTTTCATGAAATAAAGGGCATAGAAAATATATAAAATACATATATAAAAGTAAGAATAAAGCTTTCATTAAATAAAAGGCATAGAAAATATATTAAAATGACCCTTCAAAGGTCCAAAGTGATCCTGGGTCTTTATTTCTCACTCTTGACAAGTTAACATAAAATTTCTTACATTGGTTTTCCTCTTTAGTCTAAAAATTTGGCCCATGAAGTTGTGTTGCGATGCCTGTTATTGTAAATATTTATGTGGCATTAAATAAAATCTTCGTAGCGAATACACGTTATTTAATGACACCATTTGCATGGAAAAATCAACAACTCTTACAGTAATAATCTCTTTACACAAATTTTACATATATTCTTGAGTTCACTGACACTTTAATTATCAAGTGGCATGTCTAGTCCCAAAGTAGAGAGTACGCATAATCAGTCAATTCACTTCATGTGTTGTCACTAATCTTAATACTGTACTCCACAACTTCAAAATCTGTCCTCTATCATTGTGGAGAGCAAGATAAAAGGTTTAATATACTTATCATTTAACATTTTGACTATTTTATTTTCTGGTGAATTTAAAACTTAAGGCAAATTTTTTGAAGAAGGAATTTTCATTTATTTTAACAGAGATATCGATATCAGCATTTAGATATCTTTGACTTTTTCCTGTAAGAATAATCAATTAGCTTGATTTTACCTTTCATGGTCCATTTAATTTCACATTGAAAGATTTCTTTTCTTGCCCCCCTACTACGCTGCTCCTTGTGGTGATTATGTCAAACAAGCATCTATTTTTCTATTTCTGGACACCATAAGACTACAAAGTTATTTATTTGGTTGATTGTTTGATGCTCCATCCCCCTTCAAGCCCCACCAAAACGATACGATGTAGCTTATGAGATTATTTAGGTGTAGTGGATCTAGCCTTGGAAACAGCATTTTTTCCCCATAGAACTAAATTTCAAGAGGAATTTAATACATGGTCCATTTGAAATGAACAACAAAATAGAAAATACAGACATACCTTGGAGATACTGCAGGTTTGGTTCCAGACAACCACAATAAAGAAAAGGTCATATGAAAGTAAGTCACACACATTTTCTGGTTTTTCAGTGCATATACATTTATCTTTATATGATACTGTAGTCTATTAAGTGTTCAAGTCTTTAAAAAGTACATACGTTCATTAAAAATACTTCATAGCTAAAAATGCTAGTGATTATCTGGGCCTTTAGTGAGTCATAATTTTTTGCTGGTGAGAAGTTTTGCCTCAATATTGATGGCTGCTGACTAATCATGGCAGTAGTTGCTGAAGGCTGGGGTAGCTGTGGTAATTTCTTAAAATAAGACAAGGAACTTTGCCACATTGATTGAGTCTTCCTTTAACAAAAGAGTTCTCTGTAGCATGTGGTGCTGATTGATAGCATTTTACCCACAATAGAACATCCTTCAAAATTGGAGTCAATTCTCTCAAACCCTGTCCCTGCTTTACTGACTAAGTTTATGTAATTCTCTAAATCCTTAGTTCTCATTTCAACAGTTTTCACAGTATCTTCACTGGGACTGAATTCCATCTCAAGAAACCACTTTTTTTGCTCATTCACAAGAAGCAACTCCTTATTCATTCAAGTTTTATCATGACATTGTAGCAATTTTGTAACATCTTTAGACTCCATTTTTAATTCTAGTTTTCTTCCTATTTCCATAACACATGCAGTTATTTCTTTTATTGAAGTCTTGAATCCCTCAAAGTCATCTATAAGGGTTGGAGTTAACTTCTTCTGAACTCCTGTTAATAACGATATTTTAACATTTGCCCGTGAATCACAGATGTTCTTAATGGCATCTAGAATGATGAATCCTTTTAGAAGGTTTCCAATTTCCATTGCTTGGATCCATCAGCGGAATAACTGCTATTTATGGCAGCTATAGCCTTATAATATGTATTTCTTAAATAATGACTTGTAGGTTGAAA
Organism: Homo sapiens; assembly: GCF_000001405.40. NCBI lineage: Eukaryota > Metazoa > Chordata > Mammalia > Primates > Hominidae > Homo > Homo sapiens. The sequence goes on from NC_000011.10 coordinate 49,509,713, forward strand.
TTACTTCTTGATCCATGGGCTGAAAAATGGATGTTGTTTAGCAGGCATGAAAACATTAATCTCCCTGTACATCTCCATCAGAGCTCTTGCTTGACTAGGTGCATTATTGATGAGTAGTAATATTTTAAAATAAAATTATTTTTTTCTGAGAAGTAGGTTCCAATGGTGGGTTAAAAATATTCAGTAAACTATGCTGTAAACAGATATGTTGTGATCTAGGCTTTGTTGTTCCACTTATAGGCACAGGCAGAGTAGATTTAGCATAATTCTTAAGGGCTTAAGGGCCCTAGAATTTTTGGAATATTAGCAGGGCATTGGCTTCAACTTAAAGTCATCAGCTGTGTTAGCCCCTAACAAGAGAATCAGCCTATCCTTTTAGCCTTTTAAATCAGGCATTGAATTTCATCTATTCTCTTCATTAGACCTTCTGAATATCTGAATAACTTGCTGCAGCTTCTACATCAGCACTTTCTTCTTCACCTTACAATTCTATGTTATGGAGACAGCTTCTTTCCTTAAACCTTGTGAACCAACTTCTAATAACTTCACACTTTTCTTCTGCAGCTTCTTCACCTCTCTCAGGCTTTGTAGAACGGAAGAAAGTTAGGACCTTTCTCTTGATTTCTCTTTAGCTTGAGACAATGTGGCTGGTTTGGTCTTCTATTCAGATTACTAAAACTTTCTCCATATCAGCAATAAGGTTGTTTTACTTCCTTATAATTCATATGTTCACTGGAGTAACACTTTTAATTTCTTTCAAGAACTTTTCCTTTGTTAACAGTATGGAATAAGAGGCCTTTCTTTCATTATTTATTGGCTTTCTTCATGCTTTCCTCACTAAGCTTAATCATTTGTAGCTTTTGATTTAAAGTGAGAGACATGCAACTCTTTCTTTCATCTGAACACTTAGAGGCCCTTGTAGGGTTATTAATTGGCTTAGTTTCAATACTATTTTGTCTCAGGGAATAAGAAGTCCAAAGAGGAGGGAGAGTCAGGGGAAGGGCTGGCTGGTGGAGTAGGCAGAACATACATACACAGTATTTATCAATTGAGTTCATGGTTTTTATTTGGGCAGGTGCCATAAAGCAAAGAAAATGAGGCATGCCTGTACCACACACCTTAATCTAAACAACCTATGTTTCTGCCATGACATGTGTGAAACCAATATTGCAGGAAAGAATATCTCAAATTTCTTCTTTGCCTATCATTTGGCTGACTTATCCACTCCATTTTTGGTCGTTGTCAACTGAACAAGCAATTGTATCTACCATCAATGAAGAAGTAAGTAAAAGTTATTTTGAGAGACAAATGTTTAGATTTTCATACTCCTTCCATTTACATACCCCAAGAAATAAACTTGATAGTTTCCATGCTCCAAATTTTGTCTCAGCATTAAAGCACAGCCTTGAATTTCATGTGCTGGATGCTCTTGCTGGATAAAGCTGAACCTCTGACAGCCATGCAATGATGTACAGAATGAAATAGTATTCAGGAAATACTTCAGTACTGACAGGACCATCAAACTTAAGATGAGTATTTATTTTGTGTCAAATTATTTTATTGTAAAGTAATGAAATCAATTGATTGCTATTTTTCAGTATTTCTAAGAGGATATCAGTGGACTCACATGGAGTGAAGTGAAGTGAAGGGAACAGGTAAGATGTTAAATTTTGGGCAAACTTTATAGCAGTGTTCTAGGAGCAAGTATAAACTTGCAGAAGACATTTCTCTAGGTTGGTGATAAGAAGGGAAATCTTAGACACATGAGATGTATAAAAGTATGTGTTAATCTAAGTCGACAGAAAGTTCACAGGAATAGAAAAAGAGGCAGAATAGAATAGAATGCATAAAAATAGACCCAAATTAATATGGAAGTCTATCGAGTAGAAAAAAACGGCACCTCAAATCACTGAGTCACAATTGACTTTTTAATAGATGGTACTGGGACAATTAGTCATTTGGAATATAATTTTGATCCATCCTTTGGCCCGTCTTTAAGAATGCACTCTGAAAAGATCGGCAATGTAAGAGTAAGACATCACACCATGAAGGTAATGGAAGACAGCAACATTTGTAAATGTTTTATTCCCCTTTAAATAAAACAGGTTAAATTGCAGTGCATTCTTCTTTACATAGGTGTAGAGAATGGCATTCTAACTGTAAATCAAAATCCAGATACAATTAAAAAATTGATAAATTTGAATACATATAATTTCTAAAAACACTTTTCATGAACAAAAACAAAACCCACTACAAATGAAGTTAATTAAAAGACTGACAAACTGGGAGAATACATTTGCAACATATATATATATATATATGTATGTATGTATATATATATACACACACATATATGTATATATACACATATATACACATATATATGTACATATACATATATACATACACACATATATACATATACACACACATACATATACATATATATGTATATACACATATGTGTATATACACTCATATATGTATATATACACATATGTATATATACACACATATATGTATATATACACATATATATGTGTATATATGTATGTATATATGTGTGTATATCTATACACACACATATATATATACACACACATATATATACACATACATACAGGTGACAATTGAATAACACAGGTTTGAACTGTGCAGGTCCACTTATATGTGTATTTTCTTCTGCCTCTGCCACCACCTAGACAACAAAACCAACCTCTCCTCTTCCTCTCCTCAGCCTACTTTATGTTGATAATATTTGTATAAGAAAAAGAGACATTAGAACACAAACACATGTCTGTTCATTTGCATGGAAACAAATACAGGAAAAGTAAACAGAGAGTTTGATAATTTGGTTGTTTCTAGGTTTTGGCTAATAAGAATAAAACTGCTGTGAAATTTTATATACAAATCTTTGGGTGTTTGCTTTTATTTATATTTTTTTTAGGTGAATCCTACTAATCCAATGGCTAGAATGCATAGCATGCTTATGTTTAACTTTTGGAAAAATAGAAAAAATTTTTCTAAGGGCTTATATCATTTTACATTCCAATTTGCAGTGTATTAAAGTTCCAGCCTGTCACCAACTCTTGTCACCATTCAACTGTAGGTATGTTAGCAGCTTGTAAAGCATTAACTTGTTGTAGTTTTAATTTGCATTTTCCTAATGGCTGATGTTGAGTAAATTTTTACATATTTATTTGCCATCTTAATATCTCCTTTTATAAGGTGTCTGTTGAAATATTTTTCCAGTTTTAATGTTGGCCTTTTTTACTTATTATTGAGTTGAAGTGTTCTGTTTAATATACTACAAATGTAAGTTCTTTGTGAAATGCATGTTTTGCAAATATGTTTTTTCCAGTCAATGGGTTTCTTCTTTCTCTTATCTAATGGAGTCTCCTAAAGGGAAAAACTTTTAAATTTTTATAAAGACCTATTTATTATTTTATGTTTTTATGTCCTATTGAAACATCTTTGCCAAATCCAAAATCTTCTGTTGTTTAAATCTAGATGTTTGATAGTTTTAGCTTTAGGTCTGTAATCTATTTTCAGTTAATTTTCATACATTCTATGAGGAAAGGTTTGAGATTTACTTTTTTATATATAGTTACTCAAAACTTTGGGGGCAACTTATTGGAAAGGTTATCTTTTCCCACATTGAATCACTTTAGTACTTTTGAACAAAAATCAGCTGACCACCAGGCCTGCTTTGCAAGAGCTCCTGAAGGAAGCACTAAATATGGAAAGGAAAAACCATTATCAGCCACTGCAAAAGCTCACTGAAGTACACAGACCAATGACACTATGAAGCAACCACATAAACAACTCTGCATCATAATAAACTAGCATCATGATGACAGGATAAAATTCACACGTAACAATAATAACCTTAAATGTAATTGGACTAAATGCCCCAATTAAAAAATTCGGAATGGCAAACTGGATAAAGTGTAAAGCCCCATCAGTGTGCTGTCTTCAAGAGACCCATCTCACATGCAAAGACACTCATAGGCTCAAAATAAAGGGATAGAGGAAAATTTATGATCAAATGAAAAAGAGAAAAAAGGAGGGATTGCAATCCCAGTCTCTGACAAAACAGACTACTTGCTTTCCAAGACTTTGTCAAATCCTGAAGCATGGATTGTTATGCTACAGGAATAAACAAACATACCTTGCTGGCAAAAATGTGTTCATTATAATGCTTCCTATTTTGATTAATAAAGATGTGCTTGAGCCTAGTTATAATGATTTGAAATTCATGGTTTGAAACCTCAATTATGTTTGCACAAACCTAATATAATCAGTATTTTCCCCATAAATGTTAAATAGAATTCACTAATGAAGCCCCCTGTTTTCTTTGTGGGAAATTTACACACACACACACATTTAAGTTATTTCTTTACTAAAATTTGAATTTGATTTTTTTCAAAGTGGTTGAAATTAATGACATGAAATTTTTACTTTTCAAAATATTTTCCTATTATTCCTTTAATGTTGATTTCTCTCTCTCTCTGCAGTCTGGCTAGGGGTTTATTAATTTTATTAATTTTCTCAAAAAACTAGCTTTTGGTTTCTTTGATTTTCTGTATTGTGTAACTGTTTTTTATTTTAATGATTTCTGCTTTTCATCGTTTCCTTTTCTCTACTTATTATAGATTTAATTTGCTCAACTTTCCAAGTGTCCTGAGGCAAAAATTAAAAAGTCATTATCTGAGACTTTACTTCTTATTTAACATAGACTTTTAATGCTCTAATTTTTCTCTGATTACTGCTTTAGTTGCATCTACAATTTTTGTAATGCCATGTTTTTATTTTTGTTCACTTAAAAATACTTTCTAATCTCTATTTTTTTATTTTTCTTCAAACCATGTATAAGTGAGCAATTTAGTTTCCAAGTATTTGGTAATTTTCCAGCTGTCTTTGTATTATTGATTATGGTTTAATTTCATTGTAGTCAGAAAATACACATTTAATAAGGTTTGTTTAATGAACCAGAAGATGGTCTAATTTTGTAATGTTTCTTATGTACTTGTATAATACACATATTATGATGTTGGATGAAAAGTTGCCTAAATGTCAAATAAATCAGATAAGTTGATAATGAGGTTAAAGTTTTATATATCTTTGCTAATTGTCTGTCTGCTTGTTCTGTGAAATGTTGAGAGATATGCTCAAATATCTTTTGGATTTATTCCTCCTTTTATTAGTATAAGATTATGCTTTCTGTCTTGTGAAGTTCTGCTATTAGATGCATTATTATCTTCTTGATGAATTAATTCTTTGTAATTATGAAATTATTCAGTTATTCTTTGTAATAATTTTTACTCTGAATTATACTGTGATATTAAGTTTGCCATTCTACCTTTCTTTTGATAGTGTTAGCATGATATAGTATTTCCTATCATTTGATTTGTCTTTATAATTAAGATGAATTTATTTTAGGCAGCATAGAGCCTTGATAACATGCAACCTGATTTTTCTGCTTTTTGATTGGTGTTTACATCATTTACATTTGATATGATTACAAATATAGTTTGGATTACATCTTCCATCTTGCTATTTATTCCCATTTGTCTCATTTTTACTTTATCAACATTTTTCTCATTTTCTGACTTATTTTAGATTAATTAAACATTTTTAACTATTTTACTTTATCTTCTTTGTTAGTTTATTAGTTTTACCTATGTATTAATAAAATATGAATAGTTATTCTTTAGGATTTATAGTTGTTCTTTTAGGATTTATAGCATACATTTTTAAATTATTTAGTGATATACTCTATGTACACTGGTAACACCAGAGCACTTTATTCTTCTTCTGCAATTCTTTGTATTGTTGTTAATATAAATTTTATTTGTACATATTTCATAAACTCTACATAATACATTGTTATTGTTTTTGTATTGTCAATTATCTTCAAACATATTTTTAAAAGAGAAAATATATTCATTCACATATTTGCCATCTATTATTTTTTTCTCTCTGAAGGACTTCCTTTAAAATTTCTTTTAGTGAAAACCTGCTGTTGAATTATTTCAACATTTTATATTTGAAAAACACTTTATTTTATCTTCATTTTTGTTAGACCTAGTCATTGGTCACAGAATTCTTAGTTGACTTTTTGTTTGTTTCCAGAAGTTTCAGGATACCGCTTCATTGTCTTCTGACAAGCCTTGTTTCTAACAATAAATAATTTCCTTGTTATTTTTACCTCTGATTCTCTGCACAAAATATCTCTGTTTTATCTCTGGATACCCTTAATATTTCTCTTTACCAATTTTTAATCAATTTGATTATGATGTGTATTGGCCATTATTTTTTCATGCATTTTAATGCCTTTCTATGGCCCCAGTTATGCATAATATGAGGCAGAGTAAGTTTTTTTCCATAACTCTCTGATGCTATGATTTTTAAACTTCTTTTGCCTATGTGTTTCATTTTAGACAGTTTATTTTATTATGCATCAATTTCACCAATATTTTTTCCCAGTGTGTCTATTCTGCTCCTTACCCTCTTCAGGATAGTTTTCATCTCATGCAATTAGTTTTTATCTCTGGAAATTCAATTTTGAATTTTTCTGTCTTCTATGCTTCTCTTTAAAGTGGCCATGGTTTTGCCTACTTTCTTTACCAGATGGAATGTATTTTAACTCTTTTATGTTCTTGTTTACTAATTGTCACCTTGTCTTTTTGTTTTTTATTGATTTATTTTTCTCCTTATTTGTGGTCATATATTTTCCACTTCCTTCACATCTGTCGATATTTTATTAGATGTCAGGCATTGTGAACTTTAGCTTGATGAGTACTAGGTATTCGTTTCCTTAAATATTCTTGAGCTTTATTCTGTGGTTCTGTGGTGCAGTTCAATTTCTTAGGATCAGTTTTTTCCTTTGAAGCCTGCTTTCTTAGCTTTCTTAAGTTGGTCTGGAACAGTGCCGTTTTTTTCCACCCTATTCAGGTGATAGCCTCCTGAGTCCTCTACCTGATGCTTCATGAATTATGATGACATTTTTCACCCTGTTTAGTGGGAACACAAACTGTTTCTGGCCATTTGTGAGCCTCACAGCCTCTTCCTCTTGCCTCTTTGTGGTGTTTCTTTCCTTGGTCTTGATTAATTCATCACACTCATGCACAGCCATTACTCAGTGGAAGATTCAGGTGGAACTCTCTGTAGATCTCGCCTGCTTTTTATGTAGGCTGTAGTGAATTCTTGTAATTTTATGTCACCTTGGTATCCATTTTGAAAATATGTTTAACTTTCTCATACCAGAAGCAAGGCTTAGTTATTCTTAACACAATTTACACTTTTCTGCTTCCTCCCACTTTTTCATTATAAAAGACAGATATCTGCCTTATACATCTGGTGATCACCTCCCTGTGGGATTTAGAGATACAATCTACTTGACTTGCCCCACAGACTCCCACACTCCACATGGACTGCATAGATATGTCTTAATGATCACCTCTTAGTCACAGTATGGCCCCACTGAATGCTCGTTTTAAACCCATGAATTAGAACTCTCCACAGGAAAGTTCCTTGGGTAACACCCCGGATCCCTGTAAAGGCCTTGGCCCACAGGTTCATCTCTCTCTCCGGCTCCTCACTTTCACGTTGAACACATGGCCCCTGTGATCTTTCCATTGGCCCTTGTTGGTACTTCTCTTTTGATGACCTATAAATAATAAATGGCTTCTGTTATTTTATATGTTTTTGTTCTGTTGACTCCTCTGTGTCTCACCTGACTTACCCACCTGGACCTAACTTTTCTCCTGGTCAAGGCTCTCCTTAAGAGTAGATATGATGGTAGAAATAAATGGGACAAGGGTAAGAAAAGATATACAAGGGTATCTGTGAGTATAAACAACACATTTTGAGAGGAACACCTGGTCATGGGTCAGATATTTAGGCATTAGGTTATTTACCAGGATAAAAAAAAGTATCCCCCAAAGGCAAACTGCAAACATCCAAAACCACATCCCTTGGATCCCCATGAGAGTAAAGCTACTGATTATAGTCACTATCTAGAAAAACACCTCGAGGCCAAATTAGAGCAAACAACGTAGTTCCCTCCACTCTATGCCACTCTCTGCTCTGGTACCTGCCCCCAAAATTGTAGCCACCACAACCTCTTCATATTTCAATCCTGTCACTTTGATAGAGAGAAAGAGTGCCAGGCTTTCTCAGGACTCCAATTCCCATGCTAAAACCTGGACATTATCCAGAAAGCAACCTGGCATAATAGTAGGGCTCACCTTGAAATTTCCCATATCTTGGTAATTACTTGTCCTAAATAGTGATTGTGAAATAACTGAAAACTATTGTTGCATATATTATGCCCATTTTTTAGGTTCAACAACTTAAGATGAAAAAGAAAACCAGTCCCTATTATTCTATAATGGTTGTAAATGAAAAGTTAGCTGTATGGTTTAAACTAAGTTTCTCAACTTTTCATAGCTGTATTTTCTGGAAGTGTAAAGTGAAGGATATTATCATTACCTTACAGTGTTATGGTAAGGATTAAATAATATTGACCTTGATGTAGACATGGTATAATGTCTCTGCATTTTAAGAGTTTTATCAAATGTTAGTTTCTCTCTTCCACTCATTCTCCTTAATCAAAAATAAATTAGCATAATTTGAATATGCACTTTAGCCCATAAGGTAACATAATTTGTTATTTTATGAGGAAGAAATAGAGGATAATCTATCCCCTTAAAAGAATTGTCTGAAATGTGTTACAGCAGAAAATACTTTTTACTATGTTTTATCAGATTAGACTCACAGCTCCCGCCCTTTCCCCTCCAAATTTTATAGAAATCAAACAGAATTAACCTGCTGAATTAATTACCTGTGTTTACCACAACAGATATAAAACTGCTGCTTTCACATATGAAAGCACTGAAGGTAGAGACTGTGACTATACCCATGCATAGTTGCCAGCCTCTAAGATGGACCTCATAGATCTTCCTTCTGATGCCCATCCCTTTGCTTAGTTGCCTCCAAAAATATATCAGGGCTGGTCTGTGTGTCCAATAGAATAAAGTAGAAACAAAGAAATGCCAGATTGTGATTCTGGAGACCTTTCTAAAATAACTTACTCTGGGAAAAGCCAACTGCCATTGTATGAGCAGTCATATGGAGAGGTCCGTGTCACAGGGAGCTGAGGCCTCCCACCAACTGCCATGCAAGTGACTTGGATTGGCTCCTTCAGCCCCAGTCAACCTTCTGGATGACTACAGCTTCAGCATATATTTGGCTGCAACCTTCTGAGTGATCTTGAGCCAGAATCACTAGCTACACTACTCAGTTTCCTAATATTTAGAAATTATGTTAGATATTAAATGTTTAATCACTGAATTTTGGAGTAATACTTTATGCAGGCTAGATAAGTAATACTGATTCTGCTACTGCAATGTGGGTATGCTATCATAACAAATATCTAAAAACTTGAAAACTAGGAAGTGGTTACAAGCTGAAATGATATTAAGAAGAGTGTTCATTGAAATGTTGAGCGTGTGTTCTTTTTTTCCTGCTACTTATAGTAAATGAGAAATGAGAGAAGTAAATAAAAGGAAAGGCTAATATATGTGTAAAAAGTTGAGATTTCATAGTTTTAAATTTTTAAGCTTCCACAGGTAGCAAAAGATTTTAAAATTAAGACATGGCCTCTGAACAAAGAGCAAGGAAAACAAGGTCCAAAGATGCAGTAAATACCACGTTTAAAAATTATGTTTATCTTAGATAATTTGAAGATGGTACTTCCACATACACCATTCTGTCAGGTAAAAGTCCTTCCAGACAGACTGGGCTTCTAGGAGTGTTATCTGTAGAGATCCAAGGTAAAGAAGGGCTTATTTCGGAGAAATCTGTGGGTGTGGATTTCACCTAATGGAATGAACTGCAAGAAGATTCACAAGAGATTTAAAAAGTTTTTAAGATAATATATCAATAGAAACAATGCCGGCTTGTATGAAAAGGGACAGAAGGAGTACAAAATGAAAGGCCTTTGGGCCTGCCAAATTTCTCCTAGCAGGAAATAGGCTGGAAGGACTACTTACCTGCATCTCCTATAAAAGGAAGAGTGGCTCAGTGGAAATAAGATCCAGAAGGGAAAGCCAAGGGCTATGACGTCTGGGCAGAAGCAAACTGAGACTTAATCAAAGAACTTGCTACATATTCCCAGTTGGATCTCAGAATTGCTAGAAACCAAGACTACTATGTGCCACTCATTTCTCTCTTCTATTGAAAAGGAATTGTAAATGTATATAGGAGTGTGTGTTTCACATGTGGGAGGTATGCATATCATTACAGCCAGAGGGCACACTGTGGTAATAATCGTGTAAGATACCCCCAACTAATCCCCACCTCCTAGTACTCATGTCCTTGTGTATTCCCTTCCCACATTCTATTATGGAAGGTCTGTGTGTCTGATAGAATAAAACAGAAGAGACAGGGTGAGACTTTGGAATCTATAGGACATAAAAGACATTGAAAATTCTCTCTCTCTCTCTCTCTCTCTCTCTCTCGTTATAAACAAACCTATACAATTGATATTTGAATCACATTCTGTAGCCCATGTCAACCCTCCAGATGATTGCAGCCCCAGCTGACAGCTTGACTGCCACCTTGTGTGAGACCTTGAGTTCAAACCCTTCACAAATCTGCTCCAGGATCCCTGATTCTCATAAACTATTAATATGAATAAAATGCTGATTTAAGCTGATAAGTGTTGGGGGTATTCTACTCACCAAAAATAGATAACTAATATACCACATGTCCAGAATAATGGTATGTGGTGAAACTGATCTGAGCATCACCCTGTCTTATTGTCTCACCTGATAAAAATTGAAGTGGAAGGCCGGGAGTAAGGCTCACACCTGTAATCCCAGCACTTTGGGAGGTAGAGGTGGGTGGATCACTTGAGGTCAGCTGTTCAAGACCAGCCTGACCAACATGGTGAAACCCCGTCTCTACTTCAAATACAAAAATTAGCCGGGTGTGGTGGTGTGCGCTTGTGGTCCCAGCTAGTTTCTGGGCAGGAGAATTGCCTGAACCTGGGAGGCGGGAGGTTGCAGTGAGTCAAGATCGCGCCACTGCACTCCAGCCTGGGTGAGAGCGAGACTCCACCTCAAAAAAAAAAAGAAAAGAAAAGAAAAGAAAATGGTAGAATCCATTATGATCACTAAACAACAATAGCATCTAGACATGGTTCCTGCTACTTAATTTTCCCTGAACTGTTGTCTGCAGAAGGACTGAAAGCACCTTGAACTGGTATGTTGTACAATGACTTATTGAAAACTTACTGTGTTAACTTGGCTTTTACACTCCTTTGTTGCCATTCATACTTAGCACCCATATAATTATTTACATTTCCCCAAAGTGTCATATTTTTTAACATCTTTATATCTAATTTTTCCTTCATCCTATTACCTCCTTGTCTATCTGATAACATTCTTATCCTCCTTCAAGATGTTCTTCACATAATTTCTATAATGCCTTCCATACCACCCTAATGAACATCAACTCCTTCCTTTGCCTGTTAATGTGCCTTGAATATGATTCTTCTTGATAGTTATACTAAAATATTTTTATATTCCCAGTGTCTTATACAGTGACATACACAGAATATGTTATTAAATATTTTATGGGTAAAGGAAATAATTAACAGATGAGACAGCACTGTGAAGACACCTGATGAATATTAAATATATAAGAAAAGCTCTAGAGTAAGGAGATGTCATGTGCAACGAGATAGGGACAATTATTATTACATTGATTCTAAAAGGATCAGTACCTTATAAATTACAAATATTTCATATACCACAAAGACAGACTACTTAATTGTTTTATAGAATTCTCAGATTCAATTCTAAGAAGCTAGTGGGCAGGATCCATGTCCATTATTAAGCACCAGCATGCCACAGGTGTTTAGTAAATGTGTGTTGAGAAGTCATGAAGGGGGAAAAAAGGCTGTGTTTTTTACTTTATAGATTATTAGTGAGAATAGCTGAGTATAACAGTCATTGACTTACTGTATCCCTATTTATATTTCCAAAAATCATATATTATATTTAATGACTTGCATATCTAGTCAAAAAAGAAGCCAAGCAATAGGACTTAGCCAAAGGAAATCTCAGCTTCAGCATACTTTTTAAAATGGCACTGAGAGAGTTTAGGTAGCAAGTAGCAGGACCAGAGGAGAGGGGTTTCAGCTGACTTCTCAACACACATTTACTAAACACCTGTGGCATGCTGGAGCTTAATAATGGACATGGATCCTGCCTACTAGGTTCTTAGAACTGAATCTGAGAAATAAGAAAATGTGGTAAATGACTAATAGAATAAAGAATACAGTGCTGTAAAAGATGTGACAAATACATAGCAAATGAAAAGAGGGGAAAGGGAATTTGAAAGTGTGGTGGGTTATGAAGGGATTGATGTAGAAGGAGACATCTCAAATAGGCTCTAAAGGTTAGATGCATAACCATATATTCAAGCCCTTATCTACTGATTGTAAGAATCAGCATAGCACAGGATTAAAAACACCACATTTAGAGCCAGAAAGAACAGAGCTGCAATCTTGCTTTTCATTATTACTAATTATAGGACCTTGACTATATGACATTACTTTTCTGTGTCTCAATTTTATAATATGTAAAATGAGGATAATAATAACAGTGCCATCTCATTTTATTATAAGAGTTATGTGAAAAACCATAGAAAAATATTACACAACCTGGCAAACAGGCAGCAACAAATGCATTGAAGTTATTATTATGGTTATTATTGTTGTGATTTTAGCTACCTGGAGACCCACAGAGATGAACTGATCCCTTTACTCATTCTTACTGCCGTGAAAATATGATACTTGAAGTGGGGGCAGCATTCATGTCACCATGGGAAACAGCAAAGAGAACAATATAATGTTGGCTCAGCTTTCACTGAATCTTTTAACCATACTGGCAGCATCTTGCTGCCAGACTGCTTGTTATGTGAGAGCTGTAATCCATGTATCTTAAGTCACTTAAGTCATCGTTTAACAGGTTTTCTTTACCTGCATCCCCAAACACTCCTAACTGATACATTGATCATCCAACAAGGCAATTTTAGAGTGAATAAGACATAGCAGGCACTGTAAGACATTATATGATTTTGATAGGTGGAAGTAATTTCATATTTGTTCTAGACGATAATATTTCAAAGACCCACTGGATCCCAGATTGAAAGAGAGGAAGCCAAGAACTTCATACACTCAAACTGAAAGCCCATACCTTTCATTCCCAAAATATCCATGACCATGACAGAATCTGGGTTTCCTCACTCATAAGATGAAAGTAAATAATAAATACTTTATAGAACTGTTGTGAGGATTAAATACAATAGTCTATGAAAATTTTCTTTCATAGTGCCTGGCAGTAGAAATCACTCAGGAATTGGTATCCATTTACATCATGAAAGCAACATATTATCATTCCCTAGTGAATTTTCTTGAAAAAATTATCAGTTATTTAATATGTAATAAATTAGTCTCTTCATTCGAAGCATACATTCTTCCTGGATAGGGTTCAAATGTTACCTTTATTTTTAGTCCTTTCCCCTCATCCCCAGTGCCACAACCAATCACAGCCCAACTCAGAGAACATACTTATTTTTTGTTTTGTTTTATAGAAACAGGATCTCACTATGCTCCCTGGGTTAGTCTGGAACTCCAGGCCTCAAATGATCCTCCCGCCTCGGCTCCCAAAGTTCTGGGATTACAGGTGTGAGACACCACACCCAGTCACAGAGGACATGCTTATTGAAATGAACATTTTCAAACTAGCTGTAGGTACAGAACCATCATTATCTCTTTGCATATGGAAGCTGCTTCACACTTCCATTGTATAGATGCAAATAATCTGAGAGTTGTTAAACAATTCTATAATACCAATTTGTCCTTGGAAAGTCAACATTTCTAAAAGCTAAATAGGAAAGTCTCACCTAAGCTTTTCCTTGACATATGCATTTGGTTCCTGGGTATAATGAAGAGAAACTTGCAAACTGTGAGATAATTTCATTGAAATAGCTCATTTTGATTATAATTTAAGTGGTGATAATAAGGAAGCTTCCTAAGCAATGGCTTTATTAGCATAATTTTTGGAAGTCTTGTTAACTCTATGTGACAGAGTTGAATATAAATTAATGAATAATTTAGAGATAAAAAGTTTCTGCTATAAATTATATTTCCAGGTTCTTGAAGTTATGAAGAAGAATAATTAAGGTCACAGGCAGTTGGATCAGATACACCTAACTATTCCCAGCCTGATTCTATTTCCTGTGGGATTTTGAGAAAAAAATTAATATCTCTAAGCCTCAATGTTCATTTGTACACTGTTGATGATCATTGTATTTACTTAGTAGAATTGTGATAATTAAATTAAAAATGTATGGGAAATGCATTAAATAAGACTGGCATACAATAATTGCTCAATAAAAATTGACTAGTCATCTTGCGATTTTCAAGTATAATCTATATCTCAGTTAGGCTCTCCCTACTTCTTAATTTCTGCATTGCATTAGCTTGAACCCCACGTTCCATACTTGAGTTTCTCTCTAATATTGCTGACATTATGAGGAAGGTCAGTTCTCATAGTCATGTTTCAATTTGGATTTTAGGTTTGCCAAAGGATCATTCTTTGCTATTGTGGGAATTTCCCTTTATTACCTCCTGGTATTAATTCAAGTAAAACCAAATGTATTCCCCTAATTTTCTTATGTAACTAATTTAATCCTTATGAGACCCTATCACCAAAGTAAGCACTAACGTTTACTTTTTTTTTTTTTTAAACAACCCAAAACTCATTAATTCACTCTGCCAAACAACTGGGCCAATTCCACCTGGTCTGTATTCTTCCTCTACTTATCTGATAATAATGATACTAATGCTATCCACAACCTCCCTCCCCAACACAAATACACGAGAGAGCAGTGGGGACTGTGATTAAATGACAATGTTGATTTTTGCTTTCTTTTCTGCATTTTGAATAAAGAAAATGCAATTTTGTATAAGTTTTTACTGCCTTATATTTGCACAAGTTTGAGTTGCAGTTTAAGCACCCATGTTAGACTAAAAGGACAGATTTCACCTTGCAAAGACCTGCTTTTGGCCTATTCTTAGGTTATAATTTAAGCAGACTGAATCATTTTGCAAGGGGGGCCCATTTGTTCAAGGAAGACCATATTTACAGTCAAAATTCATGTGTTCTTGTTATGACTTCAGTATCCTTATCTGTCCAAAGATAGAACTAGTATTTTATCTGTACAATAGGGTACTTATGATGGATAAGCTAGAAAATCAGTGTTGGCACACTTTGTAAGTTATAAAACACAATACATGAGTTACACTAAATTGAATTGAGGCAACATGGCAGAAGAGAAGCAAACAAACAAACAAACCTGGGCTCTAAAATGAAAAGACCTCAGTGGTTGACCCAAACAAGCCTTTTTACATCCCTTTATTTCAATACCTCTCAGAAATGAGGCAAATGATAATAATTAAAATAATACCTTTTTACAGGTATCTTATAAAGTTTAAGAAAGATAAATGTTTTTTTTTGTCTTATTTTGTTTGTTTTTACAACATTGTCGGAAAGGAAAAAAAAAACACCTCAATCCTTATTCCTTTCTCTGTTTTATTTTTTCGGCTTTAGATGGTAAGAATATTGTGTGGCTTTTAAACCAGAATTCCTGTTAGTTTTGTTTTGAGAGAGATGCCGGCAAATCTGCTGCAGTTGACAGGTGGCAGTGTCCTGGCCCTGAGGAACACAAGGGACAAGGATGACCTCTGGGCTGGTTTGAACCAAGGGTCATGAGTGATGATCATTTTAAGAAAATACTGCTTCCCTCTAATACATTTTCAACTTTATCTGCTTGATATCACTGTCAGGGGACTGCTCAAAGCATTCAATATGTGGGAGGCTTCCTGCTAGGTATGCCTCACAGAGGAGGTATTATATCTGGTTTCTGCAGAGCAGAAGGTAGAAATAAAATTTGTCATCCTGCTGCCCTTTCAAGAAAGAAGAACTGTAATAATTCCCATTTGTGTTAATTACCTCATATAATAAACTGATTAATTTTGCAATAAAAATTATTGAGTGTTTATAAGGTACCAGGTACTGTGCTAGTCCCTGGAATTGCAGCGATAAACCCCAGAGGTGGTCTTGGGTCCCACCTTCATGTTATTCCCAAATAAGGGAATGAACTGAGGCTTCAGTTTTATATACCCAGTTTAAGCAAGGGACTTGAGATTAATAAATGTTTACTATGGAAAGAAAGAAAAGTAAGGTCTGAATCTTGAGATCTCATGGTATGCTTAGAAGCCATTGTGTTCTTCATTGGGTGGAACTTAACAGGGGTTGAATGGGTAGGAATGACAGGAGAGGAACCTGAATAATAGACAGAGGCCATAGTAGAGTAGACATTCATGTTATGGGATATACTTTAGAGATCTATATTATCCTAGGGCACTAGAATCGTCTCTGATACACTATACTCCCTATTTCTTCCAAGGCATGTGAAATTCAAGACCAGTCCCAGCTCTTATAAATAACATTCTTCTCAGGCCATTGCTTTAGCCAGTGAACTCACCTCTTGACTGACTGTATTAGTCATTTGCTTGAAGACAACTTCATTCTTCAGTAGGGGGAAGACCTAGGCCAGCAGCAGCTCTTACTCTGCAACCCTCTGCTACCCTCTTCTGGTGGTAGCCTGTCACTGCAATTAACCCTTCAAATCCAGGTGAATCTATTCTATGTGTGGTTGGTAATGGCCAATTTAGGAAAAGTGACATGGGGCAGAAAACAAAGCCAGACCCAGCTCCTGGCTCTAGAAAACCAAGTCCATTCACGGAATCTGACATCTTAAGGCTATGGCAAGAGACTTCATGTTGTGGGCCAGGCAAGCAGGCTGTATGAGGCCAGGGACATGCTAAATTACTGTCATGCTTCCAATAAGAGGGTAGGCATGTCAATAACAATGAAAATATTACTTTTCATTCAGCAATATTAGAAAGCACAAGCAGCAGCAGGTAAACCAGCACCTCCTCCTTGTGTGGCCTTTCCTTGTCATCTTGCTTAAAATATCTTCAAATCTCTACGTCCATCCTTGTTTCCCTTTTCTCTATAATGCATTTTTACCACCTAACAGGCTATGTTTGTTTAATTTTCTTAGTTGACTGTCTATATTATTAAAAACTAAGCTCCAGGAAAACATGTTTTGTTTGCTTTTTCTTTTGTCACTACTATATCCTCACTTATATTAGGACCTGACACCCACTAGTTGCCCAATCAATACTTTTAGAATAAAGAGATATCAGTAGGAAACAACCCTCATTCATGGGGCTGCAGGTTTGAGACAAAATCTGCATAGGAAAAATACAATGAAATCTCCCAGTCCTGCTGCTTAGATAGTGAGGACCAGGAACAGGACAGTAGATATGAATTGGGTTGCCAGAACTGAGCCCAAATATCATCAGAGTTTTGGAAAGTGTGATTGTTGGGTTTGGCTAAAGTTCTCAAATGTTACAGAGCATAAGAATAACCTGCGAGGCTTATTTAGATGAAGATTCCTGAATTCTTACCTCCCCAAATTATAATTCAGTGGGTCTGGATTGAGGTTCAAAATCTGAATTCTTAAGCACCCCCAAAATAATACAGAAGGCCCTCTGATGACACTTTTAGGAAAATAAAACCCATCATAGTTCAAGGTTAAAATTGTTTTTAGAGGTTAAGGGAGATTGTGCAGGTGGGAATTTTGCTTGTGGAAAAAAAAAAGAATGGAGGCAGAAGGTGAAAACAAGTGAAGCCTAGGGGCATCAGATGATCATTGCATGCCCAATTTCAATGCTTAATAAATTGTACTTTCTGCAATTATATTCTCAAAGATTAGATTTTAATATATAGCAAGTGATTCTGACACCAAAAGCACAGAAGTCATACTTTAGAAATGCTGGCATAAAGGGAAGGGAAGGGAAAATATTTTACTTTCTATTATGTATATGTGCCAGACACTGTGCCAAGAGAACTTTACAAAGAGGTAAATATTATTAACCTTATTTTACAGATGAAAAAACATGAGAATCACACGATATATCACAGAATCACTGTGCCAAGAGAGCTTTACATGGAGGTAAATATTAACATTATTTTACAGATGAAAAAACATGAGCATCACACATAATATAACTCCCTGAGGTCACACTGATAAAATAGAGGTGAACTGTGACTCAGATAAAAGGACCCCTGAATCTATTCCCTTAGGTTATTCTATTACGTACAATGATTGTCCTGCAGCACATACATTAAGATTTGTTGAATAGATAAATGTGAGGATGATTTAGTGAACAAATGAATAAATGATAGCATAGTGTGTGTTAAAATAGGTGAATGTGAGAAAGCTGATAGTGACCACATGGTATCATTCTGAACCAAGACATTCATTTGAATCACTAATATAGTAATCTGATGTGATTAATCAATACTAGGTTTTATGCAATTCATATTTCTTCATTGACATATTTTGCAGATGAGGTCAAGTTTATTGATGTTCAATGTGCACACAGTATATACTCTTTTAAATAATTTAGTTACATAAATTTGGCCAACTGTATGAGGTTTTGTAACCCCTACCATGGTCAAGACATAGAATCTTCCCTGGTTTAATTTTGGAATTACTCTTCCCCAACCACTAGCTCTTACCAAAACAACAAAAAAAATCTGATTCTACCCTTATAATTTCAACTTTATATCTTATCTTACAGATTCATCACTAATTATTTTAGGGTTTTGATGGTACTGCAAAAATTTTTAAAGTTTTAATTTAAAATTGTTTCTTGCTAGTACTACAGCCTTGAAAGTGATTGCCATCCTAAATTTTGTATGCTAAGCACCTCTTTTGACTTCTCTTAATAACACCGTGGATAGTAGAAAAAAATACAACTACATTTTGTATGTTAACTTTGTGTTCTGTGATTTTGTTAAACTGATTAGTTCTAGTAGCTTTTGAGGGGTGTATTTTGTGGGAATTTTTACATAGACGATCATGATATCTATAAATACTCATTTATTCATTTCAAATTCATATACATTGTCTTTATCTTGTCATATTGTTTTAGTAATGATCTATCTCCAGTACAATATTAAAGAGATTTAGAAAGAAAAAATATTTTTGATTTGTTTCTGATTTTCAAGAAAGAAAACATTTAATTCTTCAGTCTTACGTGAGTTTTCTCATAGATACACTTTAATAGTTTGAGAAAATTCTCTTCAATTCTTACTGTCGTGCGAGTTTTTATTAGGAATAAATTTTGAATTTTTGTCAAATATTTGTGTAGGTCAGTTGAGATAATTATTACTTTTTTGTATTTTGTTTATATACTTAATTAAATTACTCTCCAGTAATTTAATCTCCACTGACATAATGCTGGATTTATAAAATTAAACTTATTTAATAATGATATCTTATACTTTTGAAAATGTAGGGCTGGATTCAATTTGCAATGATATACCAGGCAAATATTAGCCAAATTATAATCAAATTGACTTCGGAATAAGAAACAAAGGTGGTTATGTGATTATGATGGGTTAAATTCAATAAGAATATGTGATAATCCAAAATGGGTATGCAAAGAATAACAAGGTTCAAAATAGAAAAAGAAATAGTAATAGAATAAATAGAAAATACACAATTATATTTGTAGAGTTCTATGCTCCTGTCAAAATAATTGATAAAATAATTAGAAAAACATTTGTAAGGATATAGAAGATCTATATCCCAAAGCTATCAGCCAACTTGACCTAATTGTTATTTATAGAACATTATAGCCAACAAAACATATAAAGCATTATTTCATATGTGCACAGAACACATCAAGATATATATCCTGGACCTATAAAATATTAATGAAATGATTATAATCATTTAAAGTATGCACATCAAGCACAATGGAACTAAATTGAAATAAAGCAAAAAATGAGATAATCTTCAAATATTTGGAAATGTAAGTAACACATGGATAAGAAAGAAATCTCAAGGGAAATTTTAAAATATAAATGAAATAAATGGAAAGAAAAGTACAATATATTAAAATGCTAGATACAACTTAGAGATAAATTTATAGCACTAAATACTAATACTAGAGGGGAATAAAGCAATGAATCAATGGTCTAAGCCTTCAATTTAAGGAACTAGAATAAGAAGCGTAAGCTCTAAATAAAGAGAGAAAAAATAATTAAGGGAATAAAGTAATGAAATAGAAATCAGTACAATAAGAATAGAAAACTAAAAACAATCGAGAAAAGGTGACACTGAAAGCTGTTTCTTCAAAAAGATCAATAAAATTAATCTCTGTTCAAATGGATCAATAAAAAATACAAATTACCAATATTAGGTTAAAAAAGACACTGCATATATTAAAGGGACAATACATTATATGAAAAGACAAAAAATCTAAATAGCCAAACAATTTTAATAATTTTTATTATAGTAAAACACATAACTGAATTCAACATTGCAACCATTTTTAAGCGTATAGTACAGCAGTGTTAACTATACACACACTGTTGTGCAACAGATTTCTAGAATTTAGTTTTATTTTGCAAAACTGAAAATACATACCCATTGAACAACTCTTTCTTTCCCCTCCCCCAGCTTCTGGCAAACACCATTATACTTTCTGTTTTTAAGAGTTTTACTACGTTAGATATCTCTTGTAAATTGAAACATGAAATATTTGTCTTTTGTGACTGGTTTATTTTGCTTGCCATAACGTCCTCAAGGTTTATTCATGTTGTAGTATGTGACAGGATTTCCCTATTTTAATGCTGAATATTCCATTTTTGATGAACATTGAGACAGCTTTCACCTCTTGGCTAATGTGAACACTGCAGAGTAAACATTGGTGTGAAAATATTTCTTCCAGACCCAGTTATTAATTATTTTGGGTACATACCCAGAAGTGAGATTGCTGGATTGTATGGTAGTTCTATTTTTAATTTTTTGAGGAACTTTTATACTGTTTTCCGAAGTGCTGTACCATTTTACATGCCCACCACTACTATAAAAGAATCCAATTTCTCTGCATCCTTTTTGATACTTGTTATTTTCTGGTTTCTGTTTCTGTTTTTTATAGTTACCTTTCTAATTGGTATAAGGTGGTAACTCATTGCAGTTTTGATTTGCATTTCCCTGATGATTCGTGTTGTTGAGCATCCTTTCCTATGGTGATTGGCCATTTCTACATCTTTGGAGAAATTTATATTTAAGTCCTTTGCCTATTTTTCCATCAAGTTATTTGTTTTGTTGCTGTCATTGTTACTGAATTTTAGGTGTTGTTTTTGTATTCTGAATATTAACGCCTTATCAGATATATGCTTTGAAATATTTTTACAGATTCCATAGGCTGCTTTTTTAGTTAGTTGATTGTTTTCTTTTCGGTAGAGAAGTTTTAAAATTTGATGTAGTTCAGTTTGTTAATTTGTTCATTGTTGCTGTGCTTTTAATGTAATTTCCAAGAAATCATGCCAAGTCCAACGTAATAAAGTTTTTTCCTAAATTTTATTCTAGGAGTTTTATAGTTTCAAGTCTTACGTTTAGGTTTTTAATCCATTTTGAGTTAATTTTGGTACGTTATATAAGGTAAGGGTTCAACTTCATTCTTTCACATGTAGATACCCAGTTTTCTGATACCATTTGAAAAAGAGACTCTCCTTTTCACATTGTGTAACCTTGGCATCCTCTTCAAAGATCAATTGACCATATATGTGTGGGTTTATTTGGGGCTATATCTATATATTTGGATGGAACAGAATACTGTTCCATTGGTCTATATGTCAGTCTTTATAGCAGTACCATGTTTTTGTTACTGTAGATTTATGATATGTTTTGAAACCAGAAAGTATGAGATCTCTAGCTTTGGTTTTCTTTCTCAAGATTGTATTGGGTATTTGGGGACCTTGGAATTCCATGTGAATTTTAGGATTTCTATTCTAAGAAAAAGGTGCCATAGGGATTTTAATAGGAATTGTATTAAACCTGTAGATCACTTTGGGTAGTATGAATATTTTAACAATAATGATTATTCTAATTCATGAACATTTCATTGTATTTATTTACATCTTTAATTTTTTCATCAATATTTTGTAGTCTGTAGTGTGCAAGTTTTTCACCTTCTTGGTTAGTTTATTCCTAGGTAATTTACTCTTTTTGATACTACTGTGAACAAAATTGCTTTCTCAATATCCTTTTGTGAATTGTTCATCATGATTATATGAAATTGATTTTGTATCCTTCAACTTTGCTGAATTTATGAATTTTACTAATTTTTTTTGTGGAATCCTTAGTATTTTATACAAGAAAGATTATTTCAACTATAAAGAGATATAATTTTGCTTTTTCCTTTCCAATTTGGATGGCTTTAATTTCATTTTCTTGCCTGATTGTTTCAGCTAGGACTTCCAGTACCATGTTGTACAGAAGTCACAAAAGTAGGTCTTCTTGCCTTCTTTCTCATCTTGGAGCAATAGCTTTTTGTTTTAACTGTTGAATATGACGTTAATTGTGGGTTTTTCCTGTATGGCCTTTGCTGAGAAAATTTCCTTCTATTTCTAGTTTTTTGAGTGTTTTTATTATGAAAGTGTGCTGCATTTTGTAAAATGCTATTTTTAACATCAATAAGATTATCATGTGGTTCTTCCCCCCATTATTATGTCTCTTTTTACAGTTTTTGTAATAGCCTATTTTATCTAATTTGAGCATTGTTGGTCCTGCTCACTTTTGGTCTCCATTTATTTGGAATATCTTTTTCCATCCCTTTACTTTCAGTCTACATGTATCTTCAAGGATAAAGTGAGTCTCCTATAAGCAGCATATAGTTGTGTCTTGTTATATCCATTTAGTCAATCTATATCTTTTAATTGAAGAACTTAATCAATTTACTTCAATGTTATTATTGATCAGTAAAAACATATTCCTGCCATTTTGTTAATTATTTTCTGGTTCTTTCATAGATTATTTATTCCATTCTTCCTTTCTTATTGTTTTTGTCTGTGGTTTGGTGGTTATTTGTTGTGCTAAACTTTATTTTCCTTCTTACATGTATATCTGTTGTAATTTTTTTCTTTGTACTTATCATGAAGCTAAAGTCTTGTAGTTACAATAGACTATTTTTAACTAATAAAAATTTACTTTGGCCACATAAAAATACCATTTAAATTTTCTTCCTCACACTCCACAATTTATATTTTTGTTGCCTTCATTTACATCTTTATCTACCGTGGGTTCCTTAGCCACTAATTGTAGCTATTGTTTTTTACAAGATTTACATGGCTCATTACAGCACAAGGGTGTTCTGAGTTTGATTTTGAACTTATCTCTACTTGTGAGCTTTATACTTTTACATGTTTTCATGATAGTAATTACCATCCTTTCATTTTTGGTTGTAGCACTCCCTTAAGCATTTTGTGTAAGACCAGTATAGTGGTAATAAATTTCCTAAGATTTTGCTTGTCTAGGAAGGTGTTTATTTCCCTTTCATTTTTGAAGACTAGCTTTGCTGAATATAGTGTTCTTGAGTACCATGCTTTTTCTTTTACCAATTTGAATATATCTCCCTATTCTTTACCAGCCTGCAGTTTTATGCTTGCAGAAATCTGCTGACAGAGTAATAAGAATTTGCTGATGTGTAACTACATGCTTTTCTCTTGCAGCTTCTAGAATTCTTTGTTTACAACTTTTTAAAAAAGTTGTTTTTAGTGGAAACATAATGGTTATATATATTTATGGGGTACAGAGTAATATTTTGATACATGAATACAATAGGTAGTGATCAAGTCAGGGTAATTAGTATATCCATCATCTCAAATATTTTGTGTGTGTGTGTTGAGAACGTTCAACAACCTCTCTTTCAGCTATTTGACAAATACAATAAATCATTATTAACTATAGTTACCTTATAGTGCTATAGAACCTGAGAACATATTGCTCCTATCTACATGTAACTTTATATGTATTAATCACCTCTCCCTATGCTCCCCTTTCTTTTACTTTTCTCAGCCTCTAATAACCATAAATCTATTTTCTTCTATGAGTACAACTTTACTGCAGCACTATTCACAATAGCCATGACATAAAATCCACCTGAGTATCCATCAGCAAATGAATATACAAAGAAAATGTTACACACACACACACAAACAATGGAACACTGTATCTGCAGATATACACACACACACACACACACACACAATGGAACACTATCCACCATAAGATGAATTAAATGCTGTAATTTGCAGCAACATAAATGAGCCTGGATGATATTATGTTAAGTGAAATAAGACACAGAAAGAAAAATACTGCATGCTTCACTCATATGTGTGAGCTAAAATTTGTCTTTGACAAATGACATTTTGATTATAACATGGCTTAGAGAGAATCTTTTTACACTGAGTCTAACTGGGGAATTTTTAGCTTCCTGGATTTGGATGTCCATATCTCGCTCAAGTATTGTGAAGTTTTCAATCATTATTGTGTAAAATAGGTTTTCTGTGCCTCCTACAGTAATATGATGCTCCAAATATTTGTTCATGTAATGATGTTTCATAAGTACTGTAGTATCTCTTTATTCTCTTTTATTTCTATATTTTTCTGACTTTGTTATTTCAAAGGACTTGTTTCCAAGTTCAGAAATTCCTTCTTTTGTTTGAGCTAGTCTTTTGTTGAAACTCTCAGTTGTGTTTTATATTTCATTCATTGAATTATTCAGGTCTAAGATTTCTGCTTGGTTCTTTTATATGATACTTATCTTATTGTTGAACTTCTCGTTCCTATCACAAATTATTTTCTTGAATTCATTGAATTGTTTGTCTGTATTTTGTTGTATCCTGAGTTCCTGTGAGATCACTATTTTTATTTCCTGTTAAGGCATTTCAGAAATACTTTTTTTTTGGAATCTGTTTCTGAAGACTTATGTTCCTTTGGGGTGTCAAATTTCCTTGTCTTTTTATGTGTCTGGTGCCCGTGTGTTGATATCTGCAAATCTAGTAGAACAGTCATTTTTCCCCTATTTTATCGAGTGCTTTTGTAAGAAAAGACTTTTCCCTGAAGATGGATCCTAGGATGTCAGTTGGGTATGGTACATTGCCTTTAGCTGTGGATGGATTCTGTAGTATGACCTCCATGCAGTTACTTCGGTTGAAATCCTTGTCCATGATATCTGTTATTGCCTCTGTGGTCTAGGCTATAGGAGTCTGTGATGGTGGTGGTGTGGTATTGCTTGAGGTTGTGTCTCTGGGCTGGTCATGTTGGGTGAATATGAGCACAATGTGCCAACAGGCTGTGTGGTGGGCTCTCTGGGGAACTGGGCTGTAACCACGTTGGCTGTTGGATTAGGCACAGGCATAGGCACAAGCATTTTTCTTGAAATGGAGAGAAAAGTGAGGTGTTGCCTGTAATCCCAGCACTTTGGGAGGCCGAGGCAGGCAGATCACAAGGTCAAGAGATTGAGACCATCCTGGCCAACACGGTGAAACACAGCCTCTACTAAAAATACAAAAATTAACTAGGCATGGTGGCATGTGTCTGTAGTCCCAGCTACTCAGGAGGCTGAGGCAGGAGAATCGCTTGAACCCAGGAGGTGGAGGTTGCAGTGAGCCGAGATCACACCATTCTACTTCAGCCTGGTGACACAGCGAGACTCCATCTCAAAAAAAAAAAAAGAAAAAGAAAAGTGAGATGTTATCTTCCTTCAGATCTAGTAAAGAGTGTCCCAGGAGAATCTCTAATTAAGAATGGGTTGGTTTATGAAAAGAGGGTATTGGTATCTTATTAACTACCTGAGTAGTGGTGATTGAAAAACAAATTATCTGGCCTGTCAGTCTGGGGCATGGTGAGATTATTTTTGAGGGAGCTTGACCTAAAGTGTAGGTATACATATGAAGATAGATATATTTGGTGTCTATTTTTAGTATAGGCATATCTTAAATCTAGAGCCTTCCAGAGCAACCTAGGCCAGCAGAACTCTAAGATAAAATATGGTGTCTGAAGAAAATATGGTGGTGACCCTACAACATTTGAATTCTCTGATGATCTTGGAAGTGCAGAAGCAGGCTCCAGTGTTCCAATAGCTCCACATAAAGTTAATAAAAGTTAGCTGGGAGATGTAATTTAGGAAGCATCCTAGCCAGCTGACTGGTCAAGCAATAAATTGCCCAACCCAGAGAAGTGGTTGACAGCATATATCTTTGGTGACATTGTTGAGGAGCTTGGCTGTATTGTATGAGTGGTTCTTGAAGAGAGATAACTAAATGAATCTGGATACCATCAGAAAACTAGGCTCATCAATAATACAGAATCCAACATACCCCTGGAGCATCTGAGCATCAGATTGGGTAAGGTCAGGGGTACCTTCTCTATACTACCATATCAGCAGCCACAAAAGAGGATTATTTTTCTCTCAATTCTTCTTCTTTGCCTCAGTGGTAAAGTAACGAGAAACTAGGATAGAGAGAAAACATGAAGGACGTTTAAAGGCAAAGTCATCTACTTCTGTTCCAGGTGCTAAATCAGGGAAAAATGTTCAAACAGTAGATCAACCATCTTTGTCCTCTACTATTCTTCAAATTTCAAGTCTTTTCTGAATAGAATGGAAAGAATGAGGATTCTGATAAGAAAACTATGTTTTAAACTGAAAAGAAATGTCTTAAGAACCCAAGGTAATCAAAATAATTATGTATTTAACATAAGCTTCCTTGAAGGGTTCTGCCACCTTACTGGGAAGCTATAATTTTAATAAATAACGTAACACATTGGGAAGCATAACACATTAAGAAGCAATAATTTTAATAAATATCTGTTTATATTAATACTTCAAATATTGGAAGTTCTTCAAGAAACCAGTGGCACTATTTTTAAGTTATTGTTCTCTGAGAAAAGTATGACCTTGAAGCTAAACTTTTGGATATGTATGCTGAGAACTTGGAGGAGAAATAATTTATATGCAACTTAACTAAGCAGTTTAAACATGAAAAATGTACTAACCATAGTGCACTTAAATGGTTAAACCATAAAGGAGGACACAGAATACCTTGATTATACTTCCAAGGTGTTGGTATTAGATTGTTTCAGATAATTGTACCTGCATCTTATTTGTCCTGACAGGGCACAGATTATTCTTTGGCCTAGGTTGATAAACTGAACTGCACCTTTATTCACAGTATGACCTATTCCTTCAGCAGAGTCTAGACATTTTGTGGCAATATTTCAGTGCTGCTTACTTATACATATTTGGTAGTTTCTTTGAGTGGACTAAATCTCCCTTTTTAGTCCTTGCACTCATACTTCTTATCTGAAAAAGGAACAAAATACTTGTAGAAATCTACTTGGTCACCTTATTCTGAGGATCTAGTCGTATGACCTGTCTTTCCATCTTCTCTCAGTAATTTAGAGGAAAGTCCCTATCCATATAATCTGTCAGATAATTCTTACACAAAATTTATACATTTCATCTCTGATGACCACTAGGTAGAAGTCCCCCTACTGTCATGTTGGTTTCATAAATATCAGTGTTCATGCAGTGTGTGGGCCGATTCAGAGCTTCCATATACCTACAGTTCTATGCTAAAAATAAGAGGAAATCATTTGTTTCCTAGGCAGCAATTTCATGGAACATGTATAGTTCTCCTTTGAAGGTGTCCTAAATGGTGAAGTTTAGTATTTGCAATATTAACATGTTTGGTTTTTAAAAAAACTATTAATAATGTGCTTTAACAATCATAGATTGCCAAATTAAGCAACTATTAATACATGTTGACCAAGTTCAAACTTGTGCACAAGGAGAGCTAGGTGTTCTCTCTGTATAAACTCTACATAGACTATATAAAAGGGGATAGGGAATAAGAACAGAAGGAAGGAACAAAGGTAGGAAGGAAGAGAGAGAAAACAAGAGAGAAAGAATCTACAAATAAACACCAAACCCACAGGAAGATTTTCAGACTAAAACAAAATGCTTAGTATGATGATTGGTAGGTATTATATGTTCAATCCATGGTAGCTTTTAAATTTTGTTAAAATAAAAACAATCATTTCTGTGTAAAATACTTAGGAAAGCACTCGAGTGTTAAATGTATCATGAAATATAAGTTCAGTGTTTATTATAATCAGGCCAAAGATAACAATGAAGGCAAGACATTGATAAATCAGGAAAGCAAATTCTTCTTTTGTTGGCTTAAATTTATATTAATATGTACAGATATACAGCCTATGTAAATTATAC
The DNA here is from genome assembly GCF_000001405.40 of Homo sapiens. Taxonomy (NCBI): domain Eukaryota; kingdom Metazoa; phylum Chordata; class Mammalia; order Primates; family Hominidae; genus Homo; species Homo sapiens. Next base: position 49,538,016 of record NC_000011.10, read on the forward strand.
CCCCGTTTGCAAACTATTTAGCACCTTCTGTGTAGAAGGTTTTATATAGAGTATTCATATGCATTAGCTCTTTAAATTCTGAGAACTCTAAAAGAAAGCTATCATTGTTGATATTTTAAAGATATGAAATAGATGCTCAGAGATTTTAAGTGATCATCTCAAGCTTGCACAACTAGTAAATCTAAGATCTAGAATTCAAATTAGGTCAGATCCTTGATGTTCAACCACACACTAATCCAGAGGTCTTCTGCTTTGTTTTTTCCCTAGGAAAGTAGATCTAATATTTCCATAGAAGCAAAAAGTAGCTAACAGAACTTGACAAAAAGATGTTTAGATAAATCAAGCTATAATTTATCGAATAGAGAAAGGAATCAAAAACATCTGATGCCCCAGGCTATGAGTAGGACATAAGTCAAAATTATAAATTATTTTATTACTGCTTTTTCTCCGGAGAATTTTAGAGCTAGGTTAAAAACACAGTTTGATAAATACATCTAATAGTGATTCATAGTATTATTATTTCAAACCTGAAACTTTCCTGGACTCATACAGATGCCTAAGAAACACAGCTGCTACAGAATAAGTTCATTGAGTACTCCTGGCGAAAGGCATATCCTGTCCCTTTTATTTTTTCCTTCATCTCAAGTCTCTTTAAAAATAAGTCCCAGAAAATGATCCATTAAAACAAGACATGAAAAATAGCTCTTAAGTGAATTAAAACTTAACATTCAGTTAGTTGTATAAAACTGTAAAATTATTTCATTACATTTACAATAGGCTTTCTTATTTTGATATACTTTCATATTTTACAGGAAAAAGCTTATAATAAAATTTAGCTGTTGTCTTGATTTATTTTTAAGGTGTCAAAACCTAATTGTTCTTGTCAATTAAAAGAATATTTTCTTTCATTTTTCTAGAGTTGGGTGTCCTCCTCCTATAGGTTGGTGACATTGTGAATGTTTTCAGTTAACAACCGGCTTGGACACAGGCATTCAACTGGTTCAACTTTTCCAGCTTACTCTCTTAGATAACAGAAGTAAATGTCTCAGTTTCCTTTGTCAGTTTAAACACAGACAATTAGGGTCATGCTGACAAATAAGATGCTCTGCGAGTTTCAGTCGATTCGATTCTGAAACTGAAAATACTTTTGCTGAAATTGATTGAATATTTATGCCCTGTTAACAGTGGTTTGGCCACATTACTTTGTGTGAGGTATTGTGAGGGCAAACACAGATCAAGAGAGATAAACTTGAAAGAGTTATAGAGTTTTGTTACTCACAGTTCCCTAGGGAGAACACAGCATGCCATGCAGTGTCACTCAAGAGATACCGGGACTGGTGTAAAATACACACACACACACACACAAATATACACACATACATACAAAAATATATATACACATATGTGTACATACATATACATGTAAACATGTATGTGTGCATGTATATACACATACACATATGTATGCATATACACATGCATGCATATATACATGCATGTATATATGTATATAAAATATATATGTAAAATTATATAAAGTTTTCTTTGTTTCTATTTAAATTCTTTAGACCTCCTTCTTCATTATTGTGAGACATAATTCATTTTGTTAAGGGAACAAAGACAACCACTTCCATTCTTCATTTTTCCTGCTACTGAGACTGAGCCAGCCAAACCAATATCCTTGCCATCTCTCATAAAGAACTTATGTCTTCTCTGTGCACATACAAATATCTCTCTGCTCTTTCCAAGTCACATTTTGCTGCTCCTTCAGAAGGTAAAGAATAATTTTATGAAAAATTTTATGTCACTCTGATCTAGTAATTAGATCTGTAATTTATTACTCTCTACCATTTGGATGCTTGTGTAGGCTTCACAATCCTCAGATTGGAGCTTACTCAGAGTAGATATGTAATAAGTATTTGTTGAATGGTTTCAACTCTACTTCACGCAAGTGCCCTGTGGATACCCAATCATGAATATTTTGAGGGTAAAACCCTAACCGTGTGGTTTGTCTCACATGCCTTAGTCCAAAACTGTATAGTTGATGTCTACCTCATTTATTTAACTCTATATTGGATTGTGACAGATATAATAATATATTGATACTATGATATATTAACCAGGGTCATGTCTAGCAAGAGAAACATATATAAAGAAATGACAATACACATTCTTATTTCATTTCAATTGAAACAGTTGCAGAAGTAACAAGTGGAATGTAATTAGTGTATATTAACATGGAGATCTAACTTGGCCTGAAGAGCTATGAATGGTTTCCCTGATAAAGTAATCATTTAAGCTGAGATCTAAAGGATAAGTAGGAAGGAGTCAGTAAATATTTTCACTTTACTTCAGTATTGTTCACCAAATTTCTAAATGTGATTTCAATTTACTGACATTCACATGATTATCTATTAGGTAAATCCACCTGGGGCATCAGATGGTTTTTAAATTTAAAAATGTGACTCTAGAATGAAAACTAGAGTGCTATGCAGGAACACAATGTTTGTATTCTAAATTTCTTATTATTTCCAAAAAACTTTCATCCAAAGACTACATGTAATTATTTATTTGCCTTATTTTGTAGGCAATAGAAAAGAATTTTGGAAAAGTTAGCAACATCCATAGTAGTGTTACATTGATGACTATGATATGCTAGTCCTGAAGTTGTTAAGCTTATAAATTTACAGTTGGTTTTCAAAGAAGTAGTTAAGCAATAAATATTTATTTTATTGCACGTTGTCTAAATATGAACATCTGCATTGTAATCAGTTACATCATATGTACTAATAGGGACTGCTGTTTATGATAGTCATTGTGAATGTCCTATGGGTACTCTCTTGAGATTCACATAAGATAAAGAACATGAAAGAGCCATGGAAAGGATAAAGCATTAGGCAAATAACACGTTATATTTGTGACATTCTTTTCCAATTTTCCTGTTGTTTAAATGTAAAAACATAAGAATTTTAAAGTGTTTCAAGAGAATACTTTAATGATGGATCAAAGTTAACAAGAAGAAAAGAAAGAAAGAAGATAAAAGATAAAACTCCAAAGAAGATAGCTTGAAAAAATAATTAGCAATGCACAACTTAAAGATTCTATTAAAGTTATGAGTAGCAGAGTAAAATTGATTGGATAACTCAAAAATGTAAATGTAACTAATATCACTGAATATTTAAAAATGGTTAAAATGATACATTTTATGTTATGCATACGTTACAATATAAAAAGATAAAATGTTAATAATATTTTATTACTGCATTAAAATGCATTAATATTTTTATCATTATGCATACTTTACCACAAAACATTTTTTAAAAGCTTAATAAACAGATTCTAGAAACATATTAGAAGTATAATAAATCATTACCAGCTACAGTTTTCCAGGAATAAAACAATGTTTTATTATTGGGTAACCTATTAACAAATTTCCCTAGGAATGACAAATCACAATAATCTCAAAAAAGTTTATAAAAATTGTTAGAATTTAACATTTATTTTGTACAAAATAGCAACAGTTAGAGATATATTATGCTTATCGGAAAACAGCATTCTCATTAAAGCCAGAAACAAAACAAGGAAACTCTTTACTACCACCACTATATAGTATTGTCTGTGAGTTATAAGACAATACAATTAGATAAAGGAAAGTAAGAGGTATAAAAATTAGAAAGGATATGAAATTATTCTCTGGAGATTTTGTAATTGTTTACTGTAAAACAAAATTTTTTCAAAACTTTGTAGAGTCAAAAATATTTATAAAGGATAAAATAATTAAGCTGAAAATTAGTTTATAAAAACCAATTAGTTTAAAACAAAGAACACTACAAAAATATCATGAAGGTAAATTCCCATTTCAAATAAATGTTAAAAGGTAGTAAATATAACAAGCACAGGAAGACTCAAAGAAAATTTTAGAGGACAAAAGGGATACAAAAGAAGGCGTTGAGTGCAAATAATGATTTGAAATAAGAGGTGTTAAAATATAAAGACAGCAATTCTCCCTAAATTGTTTAACATTTAACACCATGTCAACAAAAATGCTTTGAGATTTACTTAGTAGCTTGGGGGGTAGGGAAACTTTTTTTTTCTTTTTTTTCTTTTTTTTTTTGTAAAGTGAACAATCAGTAAAAACCAGGATTTTTTTTTTAATAAAAAGATACATACTGAGGAGAGAATAGCCTTATTAGATGTTGTATTAGTCAGGGTTCTCTAGAGGACAGAATTAATGGAATATATATATATATATATATATATATATATATATATATACACACACACACACACACATACATATATATATACACATTCTATTTATATATATATATTCTATTATATATATATACTTAATAAACTCCTATTTTTTTCTATTTCCCACAAAATTCTTTTCTATTTCCTACAAAACAAGGCAAATAAATAATTACATGTAGCCTATATATATTATAGGAGTTTATTAAGTATTAAATCATATGATCACAGGGTCCCACGATAGGCCATCTGCAGGCTGAGGATCAAGGAGAGGCATTCCAAGTTCCAAAACTAAAGAACGGAGTCTGATGTTCAAGGGCAGGAAGCATCCAGCACAAGAGAAATGTAGGCCAGGAGGCTAGGCAGTCTCTCATTTCACACTTTTCTGCCTGCTTATATTCTAGCCATGCTGACAGCTGATTAGATGGTGCCCACCCAGATTAAGGGTGGGTCTGCCTTTCCCAGCCCACTGACTCAAACGTCAATTTCCTTCGGCAACACCCTCACAAACACACCCAGGATCAGTAGTTTGTGTCCTTCAGTCCAATCAAGTTGACACTCAGTATTAATCATCACACATATTATATCAGAAAACTGTAATAGTTTATACTGTATGATATAAACAAACAGATCAATGGACCAGAATATAAAGTCTAGAACAGTAGTGAGTAACTAGAACATTAGTAAAGTCTTAGCACTTTAGGGATGGATAATTCTTTTTGTCAGATGCTGTCTGGTACATTGTAGGATTTAACAACATCCATGGCCTTTACCCAAAAATGACAATAACTCTCCCAAGTTGTGACAATCAAAAACATCTCCAGAGACTGCCAAATGTCCCCAAAGGCGCAAAGTTGCCATTATTTAATACCTACTGATATAAAAATATATCCAAATATAATTGGCTATTTATATACAATAAACATGACCTTCAAATTAGTAGAGAAAAAATAGATTATTTAATTTTATGGCTGGTAAAAGTGGATAGAATTCTGGAATAAATAAAAACAGATCTATACCTCACACATTAGAACAAAATAAATTCTGATAACTCACACAATGAAATGGAAATAGACATGAAATATAAACTCTAAAAGTCTTAGAAGAAAATAAACAATTTGATTATTCAAAATAATGTTTCTAAATAAGAACAAAACTCAGAAGTCATTAGAAAAGATTGATAAGTTTGATCCCTGAAAAATTTTTAAAAATCTCATTTTATCAACAAGATAAAGTCAAGAGATAAATGGGAAACTAGAAAAATAATTTCAACTTGAATCACAAGGAGTTACTTTCCTTGTTAAGAAAAGATTACAAATCAATAAAGAAAACAGGATGAACTCAAAACAAAAAGTAGTAAAGATTAGGAATGGTTGACAGAAAAATTATAGCTGTTTCTTAAGCATATGAAATAATATTTTGACATATTCATAAAAAATGCAAATTAAGATCATATTGATATATAATCTTTCTTATATCCTGTTTGCCAAGATCACATGTGTGATGACATGCTGCATTGGTGGGTGTATGAGGAAGTGGCTGATCTTCAAAGATGGATATGTAGTTATTAGGAAAAGAAGGAGATAAAATTATGAGCATTTCAAAACCAAGTAATTCCTGTTGATGTGTAAATTAAAACAACTACTAAGGAAGGAATTTTGAAAATATACTTCAAAATAACAACTGAAAATACCATTTGGACATATTCTAGAACATATTCACAGTTGTGCAAAATGATATATTTAATAACGATATTTGTTATATTATTGATAATACAAAAATTCTGGAATCAGCTTGTTTATAGGCACTGGTAAAACATTACAGTACATCACTTCAAAGGAATCCTGTACATTCATGAAACCACTATAGTTGTACTGAAAAATAAAAAAATAAGGTGTAGAACAGTGTGCTTAATATGCTATACTCAATTTGTATAAAAATAAAGAACACATAAACATTTCAGATACATCTGAAAGGACATAAGAAAACAGGAGGTATACTTACTTTTACTCATTAATGTATTATATATTTTAAATGATATATCATGTGCATTTATAAGATATTCACAATGAGTAAATACAATTTTTAAATGCATTAAGGACACAGTGACAAAGCATCCACAGTCAGCACACAGGTATATCCTATGTGACTGCCTCTGTTGACTATTGAACGGAATTACCTATCACAGAATCATACGTTACCAATGGAGGTGTCACAATTTTAGCCTGGGTTCAGCAGTAGGAAGGGACTGGCTAGAATTAGTTTTGGCATCTTACACCTACTACTGGGCTACTTAAAGGGCAAACTAATCACAAGCATTGCAGGAGCATGAAATACATGCATTACTTAAAAAAAGATTTTGTGTTTTATTCTTGCTATTTGAAAATAAATATTGAAGCATCTATCATGGGGATAAATCAAAATATTGTAGCACTTTTTGGAACTTTTTAAAAGATAATTTTAAATTTTCTTTGAATTTTTATGGGGGTGAACCTTAAGCATTTTCTTTCTTTTTGTTTGTTTGTTTGTTTGTTTGCTTGTTTGTTTTGAGTGGGGAGATTTAGGACCATTATTCATCCTAAAATAAATCTGTCCTGGTGTCCAATAGATCTCATTCACTATATAACATTTTCCTACACCTTTATGTCACACTAACCATCTACTATCCACACTGCCATTTCTTGCTAGGGTTGAATGTTACGAACCTTAGCACACCTTTCTCATAATGAAAATGGCATAACCTGGGCCCGATCATTTCCACTAGGGGAAAACAGGTGTTTGCTACTCTTTAGGGCCCTGGCAGGTCACACACTAGAATGCCTCCATCTATCGGACTTCAAGGATCATCAGCCACCTCGATACCATTGCTGTGTATGTACCAGGCTGCTTCTCAGAGATGGTGATGCCCATTCGAACCCAGTATAACTTTGCTATCCTGTTTTGCATACTGTGAGCAGAGATTCTGGTTGCATTTCTTCCTTGAAGGAAGCTCTACGACTTAAGTTATTTTCCATAGTCCCTGTAAGTTTGAGTCTTAATCAAGATAATCCCCAGTAGACCAACCGTTAGACAAAGTGAATTTGAAGCAGAGAGGATAAAGAATAACTAAGGGGGTGAGAAGTTATTCGTTCATTTATTCTAAAAATATTATTACATACTAACTCCGTATCAGGCATTGTGCTAAGTGCTAGAAATACTGAGATGTGTAAGGCTGAGTTGCTGTTCTTAGATACTCAAATATTATTAGGGTAACTTTCATCAAAATTACTTTCAAAATTTCATAGAAACTGCCGGAGGCTTCATGTACTAATGCTTTCATGCATTTTAAAAAATTCATCAATAGCTACGTTGTATTAGTCTGGGTGTTGCTTTTTGATGATGCTTCTTTGATATCTACTGTAATTAATTACCACAGGATGTAGGCTCTTTGATTTCACAATTCAGCTTAAAGAGGAAAAAGAGCTTTTTCAAAACACCTGAAAGAATTTTACCATGGCCCTCCACTATAATCCCACTCTTGTATGCCAGTTATATGTTTTTGACTTTCAGTATATGTAGCTTCATACTGTACTATGGCTTTCTAACATTTGACCTCGAGATCTTAAATTTGTGTCTTGTGAATGTGTCCAAAGTACTTGTCATCTGCTCTCGTGTAGCACCTGGACATAATCTTGGCACCCATCAGATCATATTATCACTGTTTTCCCCGCAAAGACTTGCAGTTAAATTTGAATTTCAGTAAAACAGCCTTATTTTTAGTGTAAGAATGTCCCATGAAATCTTTGGGGCACAGAGTTATGCAATTTTCATTATGAATGTATACTTTAAAAAATTCGTTAATCTGAAATTCAAATTTAACAGCTTCCTGTATTTTATCTGAAAAATCTACTTTAAAGATGTATCATAGCCTGAAGATTGTATAATTTTATCTTTAAATGGTATTTAAAAATAAAGGACATGATTTAGTCCATAGCAATCAGAATTTAAAAAAATTAGTCAACCCTTTTATCAACTACTATAGTCTGGGTTATATTCTTATATCTATATCTACATACATATATATTTTATATATATATAATGTATGTATAAATGTAATCTGCTGTTAATTTTTTTCTGTTAGCTAAAAGTTTTTCATTTTTTTTATTATACATTAAGTTCTAGGGCATGTGCACAACATGAAGGTTTCTTACATATGTATACATGTGCCATGTTGATGTGCTGCACCCATTAACTCGTCATTTACATTAGGTATGTCTCCTAATGCTATCCCTCCCCACTCCCCTCACCCCATGACAGGCCCCGGTGTGTGGTGTTCCCCACCCTGTGTCCAAGTGTTCTCATTGTTCAGTTCCCATCTATGAGTGAGAACATGCGGTGTTTGGTTTTCTGTCCTTGTGATAGTTTGCTCAGAATGATGGTTTCCAGCTTCATCCATGTCCCTACAAAGGACATGAACTCATCATTTTTTATGGCTGCACAGTATTCCATGGTGTATATGTGCCACATTTTCTTAATCCAGTCTGTCATTGATGGACATTTGGGTTGGTTCCAAGTCTTTGCTATTGTGAATAGTGCCGCAATAAACATACATGTGCCTGTGTCTTCACAGCAGCATGATTTATACCCCTTTGGGTATATACCCAGTAATGGGATGGCTGGGTCAAATGGTATTTCTAGTCCTCAAGGATCTAGTTCTAGATCCTTGAGGAATCGCCACACTGTCTTCCACAATGGTTGAACTAGTTTACAGTCCCACCAACAGTGTAAAAGTGTTTCTATTTCTCCACATCCTCTCCAGCACCTGTTGTTTCCTGACTTTTTAATGATTGCCATTCTAGCTGGTGTGAGATGGTACCTCATTGTGGCTTTGATTTACATTTCTCTGATGGCCAGTGATGATGAGCATTTTTTCATGTGTCTGTTTTGAGAAGTGTCTGCTCATATCCTTCGCCCACTTTTTGATGGGGTTGTTTGATTTTGTCTTGTAAATTTGTTTAAGTTCTTTGTAGATTCTGGATATTAGGCCTTTGTCAGATGGGTAGATTGCAAAAATTTTCTCCCATTATGTAGGTTGTCTGTTCACTCTGAATGACTTTGATGAGTTGAGAGAAGAAGGCTTCGGAAGATTGATAATAACAAACTTCTCCGAGCTAAAGGAGGATGTTCAAACCTGTCACAAAGAAGTTAAAAACCTTGAAAAAAGATTAGACGAATGGCTAACTAGAATAAACAGCATAGAGAAGACCTTAAATGACCTGATGGAGCTGAAAACCATGGCATGAGAACTATGTGACGAATGCACAAGCTTCAGTAGCTGATTCGATCAACTGGAAGAAAGGGTATCAGTGATTGAAGATCAAATGAATGAAATGAAGCAAGAAGAGAAGTTTAGAGAAAAAAGAGTAAAAAGAAATGAACAAAGCCTCCAAGAAATATGGGACTATGTGAAAAGACCAAATCTACATCTTATTGGTGTACTTGAAAGTGACGGGGAGAATGGAACCAAGTTGGAAAACACTCTTCAGGATGTTATCCAGGAGAACTTCTCCAACCTAGGAAGACAGGCCAACGTTCAAATTCACTACAAAACACGACAAGCCAGAAGAGAGAGGGGGCGAATATTCAACCTTCTTAAAGAAAAGAATTTTCAACCCAGAATTTCATATCTAGCCAAACTAAGCTTCATAAGTGAAGGAGAAATAAAATCCTTTACAGACAAGCAAATGCTGAGAGATTTTGTCACCACCAGGCCTCCCTTACAAGAGCTCCTGAAGGAAGCACTAAACATGGAAAGGAACAACCGGTACCAGCCACTGCAAAAACATGCCAAATTGTAAAGACCATCGATGCTAGGAAAAACTGTATCAACTAACGAGCAAAATAACCAGCTAACATCATAATGACAGGATGAAATTCACACATAACAATATTAACCTTAAATGTAAATGGACTAAATGCTCCAATTAAAAGACACAGATTGGCAAATTGGATAAAGAGTCAAGACCCATCAGTATGCTGTATTCAGGTGACCCATCTCATGTGCTGAGACACACATAGGCTCAAAATAAAGGGATGGAGGAAGATCTACCAAGCAAATGGAAAACAAAACAAAAAAAAAGCAGGGTTGCAATCCTAGTCTCTGCTGTTAATTTTTTTTAACCATAAATCTGAATAGGTCTTCATTTCAATTTTTTTCTCATGAATTAATGGGTTATTGAAGTAAATGAAAGGCAACTTTAAGGATGTCAATTCATGTATTCATTGAGTAAATATTTATTAAGTGGCTAAAATGTGGCAGACATGTTCTAAGCAGAGATGGTGACATGATAGAAAAAAATGAAATTTCATAAAGATAAAATTGGCCGTATGTTCATAGAAATAAAATGAGATCATTAAAATAAATAGTAAATGACTATATACTGTGAAACTGTGTGATTATAGAAATTTGTGGGACTTTGGGACAAAATCGACCTGATGCATACTTTAAGGAAGAGAATTTGTCAAGATATATGAGTGAGGTGGAGATTATTAAGCTTATATCAGGAAGCCACTAGTGTTTACTGTTATACATTAATTCAATGTATTATTTACTTTTGCTAATTGGAAATTGATTACTGTGATACAAGATATATAATGATCAAATAGAAAAATAATAAAGTTAAAATTTTGAACTAATAATTATGGATCTGACAAAATTGAATGCTCACATTTAGATAGCACATGTTTCTGGTTGAATAGGCCAAGGTTTCTAGGGAGCTTTCTGAACTGTATTTTTCAGTTTATTTAATGAAGGAGAGTAATATTTAGACTTTGTTGCATATAAAAATAAAAAGCAGTTATTGGTTATTAACTTATCCCCCAATAGCAAAACTTACGCTCCAAATACGTTTCTGTTTACTTGCTAGCTCTCGATTGGTTTACAGAGTCCATGTTTCCATGAAAGATGGAAATCTAAGTTTATAACCATTTACTCAGGAATAAATACAAGGCTATATTATTCTATCTATATATCTCTAAATATTTAATTTATGGTGCTCAATACCTCTTGTTCATTTCTCTTCCTTCTAATGCGCCATTGATAGTTTATACCTAACTTAAAGGCATTTAAGTTGAAGACAATTTTCTTTGGATTGCTTCAGGAATGGAGGAAAGATTCTGAAAACAAGTGTTGAGAGAAAATCAATTTTTCTTATTTAAAAGGCTCATGAAAACGGTCACTATGGAAACAAGACATGAGTCCATGGAACATCAAGAGATCAGAAGAGAGGGCTTGAGGTGAGACTCTCAGTCTTAAATTTGGAAATTTGACATAAATTTTAATCCTCATTTGATGATAACTTCTTTATAAATTCTGAGGTTTATTTTAGATTACATAGCCCTTGGATTTTTAAATTTCTGCGTAATTCTCTGTGACATTTGTTTTTTCTTCTTCTTCCTTCTTACCTTCCTTCCTGTCTTCTTCACACACTTTATTCTCACACTCTCTCTTTTTCTTCTTTCCTCCCTCCCTCCCTTTCTTCCGTATCTCCTATTTAAATGTCTTTTTCTCCTCTTTCTTCTTTTCCTGCCATTGTTCTTCATTGTTTTGAGTGACAATGTGACATGCAAAAAGAAAGGAGATGACAGAAAACTTTCTTGGCTTTTCCTTTTTTATTTTTCCAATTTCTTATTTTTTAATTTGTATTTATTTAATTTTTGAAATTTCATATTTCTTGACCTAAAATATTGTAGTATTCTGTCACTGTTTGCATACAATGGAGATGCTTATGAAATACTGTCTAAAGATTTCCATTCATAGTAACAGTGGTCAGCTTCTGGATATGTGCAGAAACCAGTGTTAATGAGAGAAAAAAGTTAGAAGGGTTTTTTTGTTTGTTTGTTTATATTAACAAAAATACATTTAACCACTTGGTCTTTGGAGGATGTAGGATGGAGGGAGGCCATCTATTAGTTTTCAGGGAAAAGGACAGGTATATTGCTTCTAATTTTTCCTTTGAGGTGGTCTGCCAGACTAATTAATGTTAGAGGTAGCAAGCGGGTAATAGCCCTAATAGAGAACTCACCATAGTGGATGGGGGCTACCACCATTACCGACCTCAGTCAATTGACCTAGGCCTCTGGTCATTTCTCTGGAAATGACATAATATACACCCTCTCTCAAAATCACATTCAGAAAGGTTTTTTATAGCAACCTAGTTATTGTCATTCTTTAGAAATAAAGCACTGTCAGTTCAATTCACAGGATGACTTGGCTAGTAGAGAGTTCCAGACACATTCCCTTCTAGCGTTCTATGATCTACAGATAAGCCTACAAATCTCTTGGCTTTTCTACACTCAAAATATTACTAAGAAGTGGGGAAAACAATACACTGTATTAAAAATAGAAGTGTGAGCAATAATTGGAAAATGGATTGCTTAAATATTCTAGGTAGTTCAGAGTAAACTCATAAATAGTTATGAGCTTAAATGTAATTTTTTAAAATTTTAACACTTGCTTGAGGATATCCTTATATAGTTATATATGAATAAAATCGAAAAATGTGTAGTTGAAAATCATCATTAGCCACTGTATTTACAAATATAGGAAATAATTTAGAAAACAATTTCAAGTAAAACAATTAAAAGCTAGGATTTTGCGTATAACGTATATGCAACTAGACTTTCAGAACCTTGAGGTTATTGCTCTTTGTAACCTCTATACATAGCACATAACAACTGCTCAATTAATATTTGCTTAAGAAGTACATGGATGCACAGAAGTACATATATATATTAACAGTTGAAAACAAAACGCAAAAAAAATTCACTTAATTTTGAATTTACTGGACAATAAATATTTGTCATCCTATTTGTTTTTGCATCAAATATTGAATAAATTATCTTGTAATATTTTGAACATTTTAATTCCCTATATATTTTTATATCATGAATTGCTAATATGACTTTTCTTTTTAAAATTTTTCTAGAAATGCTGTAATGTCTACTTGAGATTTTATAACAAATATTTTATTCTGGTATATGTGAATTAAGTATGTCAATATTCAAGATTTACACAGTTTAAGAGTCAATGGGGAAGAGTGTTTACAGAGTTAGGATGCAGCATAAGATAACTGGAAATAGCACAAGTTTGGGGTTCTAGGATATGATTTTACATATTGGAGTTGCTATTTTAAAATTGTATGGTAGGCAGGGTGTGGTGCCTCATATCTGTAATCTCAGCATTTTGGGAGGCTGTGGTAGGAGAATCACTTGAGGTCAAGCGTTCAAGAACAGCGTGGGCAACATAGCAAGACACCATCGCTACAAAAAAATAAATAAAATTAGCCAGGTGTGGGGATTCACATATGTAGTCCTAGCTACTGGAGAGGCTGAGACAGGAGGATTTCTTAACCCCAGGAGTTTGAGGTTACAGTGAGCTGTGATTGCCACTGCATAGCCTAAGCAACAGAATGAGAACCTGCCTCTTAAAAAAAATATGGTAAGTGCTAACAACTTCACCTCTTTGGGTCTCATCAGTTACTTCCCATAGTTGATACGAAGAATATTTGAGAGATATGTCTATTTTTGACATAAAGTATGCCTTAAAATTTTTACAAATCTGAAATGGGGGTATCCATTGGGAAAAAAATTCTCATTCTCAGAAGGGGTAAACAGGGCATTAATTCTCATGTTGACAAATTGTGCTTTACTTGATAAAATGTCACCTACACTCATGTCTATGTCATTTGTACCAAATTAATTTAAAATAAATACAAAGGATGTAAAAAAGACTGAAGAGTGGTTCTGAATCTTGGCAGTACATTAGCACCATCTGTGAAACTTTTTAAACATTCCTTGAGGCCTCACCTGCTATCAAGTAAGTCAGTGGTTTTAAAAGATCTCCCACGTGATTCTAACATGTAGCCAAAGTTCAGAATCCTTGCACTAAAAAGTCTATGTATCTGAACTAGTTTATGCTACTTTAGAATCTAGCTTGTGAAAATCTGGATTAATTGCTAGAACACATTAATTTATTTGTTAAAAGTGTGTTTGGTAACCACTACATGCTAGACACAATAGCCAGTACAGAGAATGCATAAAATAAAATGCCTAAGAAGAGTTTGCATTATATAAGGCAACCTGATGAGGCAGAAACCTAATGAATAATCGCCATATAATATGACATGCTAGGGCTTTTTAGCAAAGTTTTATGGTAGCTGAAAGACATGGTGTCCAGTCTTTCAAGGGAGTTGGGCAGGCAGTGTTTCACTGGAGTTAATCTTGAAGGGTAAACATGCATTCATTAGAGGGAAAAAAAGGAGATTAATATTAAATGTCTTTCAAAACAATAAAGAGTCATGATAAAAGGGAAAAAGGGGAATTAGAGATTAGTGAGAACTTCTACTCTTTCTGAATATTCTGAAGATATTCATTCCAATATAACGTTTAGAAAGCCCAGTGTTTCCTAGTTCCTGGGACTTGAATTATCAGGTTCAATTTCATTAAAGGACACATTTAAGTTGAATGATGCCTGGATCTAAAGTGCTTACTAAATTATTATAAGCTAATAATAACTAACATTGTATGATTACAAGGCACTGTTCTGATGGCTTAGCAGGAGTTAACAAGTTAATACTAACAATGGCTTTATGAAGTAGTCGTCACTAATCTTTCTCTCTACTTATAAATAAATAAACTAAGGTACAGAAAGCTTAAATAGTCAATACACAACTAGTAAGCAACACAGCCAAGTGTCAAATCCATGCAGATTGGCTTCAGAGATCATGCTTTTACTCATGTGCTACAGTGTGTTAAATGCTCACCATGTACCAAGCTCTGAACTTTGCAAGTGTAACTAATTTAGTCTTCCCAATAAGTTAATAAGCTACAGAACTAGCATTTTTTCCCATTTTACAGACAAAAACACTAAGAAAGAGAACTGAATGATTTACTGCTTCAACAAGCACATGGGCTCTCGATCTATCCATCAATGTTTCTGATAGATCTGTGTGTCTAGCCCAGCTCAACATTCTTACTTAATCTTAAAGAGGTATAAAAAGCAAATATTTAGTAACATAAATAAGCTCTCACCTCATCAATTTTCGAAATTCTGGCTTTCATTGCTTACTACATAATTTAAAATAATTACTGGCTTTAGCTCAATTAATTGCTTCTAGGAAATGTAACACTGAAAAACAACATAAATTTCCCAAATCACTAGAGTTACAGTGTGTTAAACATAATGTTAGATTTCAGGTGGCTTAGAGTCCTCAAGACTAAATGTATTATAAATACTTGCAACAGCTATATCTAAGCCATTAAGAGCATAATTGTCTTTTGTATATATAGTGAAACATTCCCAGCAATTCTATTGAGCAATGAGTCTGAGGTTCTGGTTGGAAGGACAAAAACTTCTGTATACCCTTACTTGGTCATTTACATGCATTTCAGAATACTGCTGCCATTTTACTTAACCTATTTTTTATTGTAAGTGAAAAATTTTACTATCTTTGCCAAAAGTATTGATGAAGAATTACTACAAGACCTGGTCTTATAATTTAAATATATTTACAAAGAGATGAGCTCTACTAGACTAGAAAGTAGTTTTCAAATTTCCGAGTATCTTAAAAAGTGGACTTTATGTCCCAGGCTATGTTTAGTGTCTTGGTCATGCTAATGTGGGATGTAAATAACTGGAAATTAAAATAAACTAATCCTCATTCCCATCATCATCATCATTACCACCAAATACCCTGTACTTGCCACATTTCAAGGACTGTACAATTGCTTCACATCCATTATTGTTTATCTTAGCAACCTCTACATAGGTACTATTATTCACATTTTACAGAAAAAAACAAAACAAGAAATTTCCTGTTAACATAAAAACAGAATTTAGAAAAGGATTTTCTTTTGTTATATATGACCCTTCCTAGTAATCCAACACCGTTATTCAAATTCTTGCCTATACATCACATTGTACTGGAACAAAGAGAGTCATATTGTGAGGAAATGTGAGGGAAAAAAGGACCACGATTTGCTGAGACTTTATAGCACTTTTGATTTCCAGAGTGACTTTATGTATAACAAAGAAAGTTAGGTATTTTTTACATTACCTTTTTGATTTTCCCATTTCCAGATAAGGAAAGGAGGTTCCAAGGTTCAGCAGCTTGTCCAAGTCCCCTATTCAAGAAAGAGCCAAAATTCAGTTTCCAAATGCAATCAGTTAGGACTGAAATCCAGTGTACATTCTGCCTCACCCTTGGATGAGTGCTCTGTGTCTTCACCTGGGATATAAAGGAAGTCCTTTGCCCC
Source organism: Homo sapiens (assembly GCF_000001405.40). Lineage (NCBI taxonomy): Eukaryota > Metazoa > Chordata > Mammalia > Primates > Hominidae > Homo > Homo sapiens. Next base: position 49,554,561 of record NC_000011.10, read on the forward strand.
TTGTGATGAGACAGTTACACATACACACGCACACACTATATTTTGTGCACCCAGAGTGAAGATGAATATCTCTGTGTTTGCCATACATGTGCCAAGAGTCTGCTTGGACAGAGGACTTCATCTTGGAAAACACTGTCTAAAGGAGTTGCAGTTCCAAAGCACTAAAAGACTAAATACTTTTCTTACTGTATTTTTTACCAAGTATCATAACAAAAATTAATTCACAGGGCTATATTTATAGGTCTGTCCTCCCTGAAGAATAGAGAGATGAATAAACATAGATTCATAAATAACAACTTCTTTGAATTAAATTTCCATGGTTTGTCTAGATCTTAAATTGAAGTTTTATATAAGAGTGCGTAATATAAAAAAGGTTCCTATTTTTGCTATAAAATCCCTGCTGAAGACACTGAGTTTTTAGGGACCATGTATATAAGGGTCTATATAATAGTACTAGTATTTAGTAACAGCAGCAAGAATAAAATTCTTTCTATGAACAGACTAAATTTCTTATATTAGATAATGATGTAACTAAATATTTTCTGGTAAAGCACTTAGTCAATATGATAGGAGTATTTGTCATTTCCTTTTTCTGCATGGCTTTCATTTTCCATTCTTAATAACATATTTAATTGACTCATTCACATCTAGAAAGTTGCCAGATTAAATTTAGTAAATAAAATTAGATAAAATTACCTTCATTTGGGAGTTGAACAAGCTGAGCTACAGTTAAGGTTTGTCAAGCTCTACTTCATCTACCCCACTGTCTTTTCAGTTTCTAAAGCACAGCAAATGTTGTTCTGCCTCAGAGTTCCATATATTGTTCCCTCTGCCTGTAAACCCCCTTAATTTTCTTCCCACTCTTTGATCAGCCACCCCTTGTTGATCACATCTCTTAACTCAGACAGAAACATAGACATATGTCACATTTTTTTGCATAATAATACACTTTTTTAGGTCTTGATTTAATATTTGTCTTAGAGTTATTTTTAATGTTCAATTAAAACAAGATACCAGGCCCCCTCCTCATGCCCTGCTATTCTTTATAACTGTACCTTGTTCTTCATTTTATTTCCCATAAATTGTGACACATCAGTTAGTTTATTCATGTGTTCCTTACTTTAAGCCTCACAGGACAGGAGACGAATTCTATTTCATCCATCATTTTATCCCCAACACCTAGCCATTCCTGGTACATGATAGTTTAATAAATATTTAATAAATGGTATGAATGAATAAATTTAAACACATATGCACTCACACACATATATGTAATAACTTTAAGTTTTCTAAGGCCAAGTAAGTATATGTTAATATTTTGTGTATCATTCTATTATAGTGTTTTGTACAGTAACTGGCAAAAAAATATAGCAATAATAAATGTTTAACGAGTGTTCATTAAATTGATAAAAACATTCAAAAATTTTTAAGCCACTTATAACCTTTTATTTAATGAGCTCAGATAACCACATACTTGCAAAACATTTAGAATTTATATAACCCCCTTGAAGTCTAGAACATGAGCTAGCTAAGTCTGAGAATCACAAATGCAAAAACACAATTTAAGAAGTAGGTAAGTGTGCCCATATTTGGAAAAGGTGCTGTCACTCAGTAGTCTTTCAGACCTCCTGCAAACATTCACATGATTTACCATCAGTGTTGCCAACTTGTACAATGAAGGGCAGCATATAACAGGTGTACCTCTATTTTCATAAATATTCATTTAAATATTCCAAATATTTATTGAGAGGACTTAGGCTTTTACTCAGTGAAATCAGAAGGTACTGGAGAGATTTGATTTAAGATAAATTCTTTAAAAGATCACTCTGGATGCTGTGCTGAATGTAGCCTGTACTAGTTTGGAATTTATTCCTGTGAGGCAGGTAAAAGATGATAGTTGATGGATTCAACAGGTTCTCTGTGAAGGTGGTTAGAAGTGGTAAGATTCTAGGATATATTTGAAAGGCAGAGCTAACAGGATTTCATGACAAATTCTCACATATAAGGACAGAAATGAATGGAGATTTCAAGTTTTAAGCTTGATCAATTCTGAGAATGACTGTGTTTTCCATTCTTTTTTTCTACTGTTCTACATAGGAATTAAAATATTTTGTTCATTAATAGCTCATCCTAAGGCAAAAGTTATACCCTTGAGCAATTTATAATCAGAACTTACTATTGGAATGTAAAACATTGTTTCTATATCCCTTTTAATTTTAATTTTGCCTAATTCAGCACTTTACAATTATGAGATGAAGCTATATTTTAAAATGTCACTGAGCAATTTTAAGATTATATAATCACGTTTTACTTCTCATCTGAAAATTTAACTATTGTTCAACATGGAGAATGTCCTTCACATTTTAGCCTTTAGAGCATAGGAAGTCGATATGTATTGGTAAGCAGGTATTACATTTACGGAGTGCTTTGTCATTTTTTGACATGCTTTGACATGTCTTATGTCATCCCACTCTCGTCATAACACTGGAAGACAGGAGAGAAGGAAATATGTGTAGGAAATTGAAAAGTTTAAGTGACTGAGTGGACAACATTCACTACACAACATTCACTTCTTTCTCATTCACTAATGTATTTTGATCCAGCTCCAGCTGATGGAGAAAAACTGGGAGCTTGGAGTGCTCTATGCTCACTCAAAGCTAAATGTCTCATACAAAAACCCAAATTTGACCTTATCTTTATTGTTAATGCCTCAGAAAATTGGATAAACAAATCACTGTATTCATCAGACTTAATCACATCACCAGAGTCATCTAGTCATGTCACCCTCCATTTTCTTGCGAACTCACTATTTTTTGTATTTTCTCACCTATGCCATCTTTCTATTTTCTCATCTATGCCATCTTTCTTTCTTTCTTTCTTTTTTAATTAAGGAAGCTCACTCACAGCTTTCCTGGCCTCTCTCCAAAGTACTAAAACTTGTTTTGTGAATTGCAGTCAAAGAAATACAAAAAGTAACAATGATCCCATCAGTAGACGTGAAAATGCAAGAAGAAAGATGCCATTGTAAAACTCAACAAGGTGTGGTAGATAGATCTCTTTTTCTTGTTGTTAAATCCTGAAGCTATCAAACAATAACTTACCTTATTGACAAGGGTCTGGTGGAAAATCTAATGAGCATTAGTAATGAATGCATCAGCATCAATCCCCTTGACTTTAGTGCACTCATCTTTTCATCTTTGATCCAGCTGCTGAAAGCACCTGGTTCCCAAAATTCAGCTAGGGAAATACAACGGGAATAATAATCATATTGCTGCAATGTCTTTCTTTTCTTTAAATTAAGCCATGCAAGTAATTTATACCAATCTCCTTTTCAGAGGCAGAAACGAAGTCTGTTTTTGTATTTAAAGATTACCTCAGCATAGCTGACAATCCTGGGCAGTTATGGGGGTGGTGAAGGAAGGGAAGCAAAGTCATTTGAGAAAGTAAAGACATTCAACTGCCAACGAAGAATAAATTTTAACGGATGTAGGAAGAATCGTTTGTAAGAAGTGCAGAAAATGCAAAATGGTATTGTTAATAAGTAACATCATTAGAGGCCGTTCTTTCTAACCAGTCACACCTCTGAATCATCTCGGGCTTCCCTGACTTCCTAGCTTTCTGTACCCTCCAGCAGTGACGCCCCTTCTCCCAATCATTGTCAGGGGTTTAAGTGCCATAGTCAAAAAGAACCTTATTATCTACCTGCTCCCCAGCTTCTCTCTGAGTGACACACCACCCACGCCTCCTCCGCACAGCTTTCCTCCTCCCATGGCTCCCAGAGGGAATGTGAGGAGCAGGAGAGGGAGACCAAGGCTACCCTCGCCTGAACCCCGAAACGACGAGGCTTTAAGACCCTTATTCACCCACTGAGTCTATGCCCTGGCCGTTCTGCCAACCCCCGCCGCGCGCTGCAGGAGTATAAGCCAGCCCTGCTCTGCGCTTCCAGCTGCGTCTGCCCAAGCGCGGCACGTGCTCCCGGCACTGGCGCGAGAGAGCGAGCGCCACCGCCGCGGGCCCCGCAGCCGTTCTGCCTGCTGTCACCGCTGCCTCCATCGCCGACACTAGCGCTCCAGCTGCAGCCAAGGCCGCTACGAAAGCGCAGGAAGCCCTCGAGGAGCGGCTGCCTGGGGGCGCAAGGCTCAGGGCGCACACCTGGTAAGCGCAGCGCCTTTTTCTTTCTCTTGTCTGTAGTTACCACGAATATAGGATACCACTGGAGCCCCTCCCCCAGTGCAGGGATGGAGAGCGATCAAGCAAAGGGCGGCAGCTGGGGCTAAAAAGACCCAGGAGGGCAAGTGGTGAGCAGGTGGAGGGCTGGTAGAGCCAGGAACGCTACGAGGTCCTGCAAGTTTAGAAAAGTCACCCTGCAAGGACATGTGCTGTGTGAATCAGACATAAATTTAAGTCAGGAGCCTGGGCTACCGCGGTATCGCTCCAATGGGAGGTTTATGAAGATCATTTTGCTTTTATTTGCATAAGTGAGGGATTTAAGTGGGCTTGTTTCCATAGAAAACGAACTAAAAAAAAAAAACTCAGAGGTGGAAAAAATAAAGATCCGAGCCAAAGGATACGTTTGGATCTTTCTCTCTCTGTGTGTGTCTCTCTCTCTTCCTCTGTGTGTGTGTGTGTGTGTGTGTGTGTGTGTGTGTGTGTGTGTCATGCCAATACATGTGCACGAAAGGCAAGGATTTAGGAAGGGAGATGGGCTCCTCTATCTTTGAGCCCATTAGGTGTTTGGGGGAGCTAATAAGAGCAGTTGCTGGTGTTTCACCCCAAAAAGAGGCAGCAAAGAAGGGACCCGATTGGGTGTAAATTTCAGTGTTCCATTTCTAAAAGGACTATAGTACTAGGAGGGAGAGGTTTTCTGGAACTGTGGGTCATGTAAAGATGGTACACCTGCAACTCTGGACCTATAAACTCAAGTTCATATACTCCCAGTGGAGCTAGGAAGACATGTTTACTCTTGGTTCCTTTATGGAACTTTGGCAAAAATAATCTCTCTCTCTCTCTCTCTCACACACACACACACACACACACACACACACACACACACAGAGAGAGAGAGAGAGAGAGAGAGAGAGAATATGAAAGAAATGAATACAGGAAAGAGAAGGGAGCTGAATATGACTGAATAGGCTGAGTGGGGTAGTAGAAGGAACAAGAACAGGGTGATCGGGTTTGGCATCACTGCGTTCATTCATTTCTACCCTAGGTAGTTCCTGGGCAGATCTCTAGAGAAACATGACCTTGAACAAGCCCCTTAACCTTCATGTACTCAGTTTCTCTATTGAACAATGTAGAGGATCTTCTGCATTTGGGGACACGAAGGTCCCATGCCGTAGTGTCTATGTATGTGTTTCAAGATCTGCATACTAAGAAGTAAGAACACTCATAAAATATGGATAAAGGAAGCTTCAGGGGATTCTTCCTCAAAGTACTGAAGGCAGTTGGCAAGATCCTGACTGTGCTGTTGGGATAATGCATGCTGAGAGGTCTGTGGAAATGAGTGAGGAAAATCCAACCTCCAGCCTGTAGTGCAGTGAACTTGGAGTTCTGAGAGCTGTTTAGAAATGTTCAGATCCAGAGAGCCTAAAGTCATATGCTATTTTTTTAGTGTTTTATTATTTATTTATTTTTATTATACTTTAAGTTCTAGGGTACAAACCTGCACGTTGTGAACAAGTCATATGCTATTTTTAAGGTTAGCATTGACGAAGAAGGTTTGGTGGCAAGGAAAATAAGTGCCAATCCAGTTTAAAGATTAGGTAGTCAGGGCAGCAAGAAGAAGGTTTTAGAGTAAAACATAAATGCAATGTAATCTGGGCAGAGGGGTTAGGAAGAAGAAGATCATGGATATTCCTCCTGAGACAAGGATGTCTACACTCCTAGGAGACAACTGGGACCTACCATGTCCTTGACACTCTTTCCACCTGTCTGAGGAAGGCACAGGTGCCCTTTCTCACTTAATACAGGTTTATTCTTAGAATTTAGGGATTTGTATCCCAGGTGCTGAGATATGACGGTAAATATGTGAAAACTAAGACCTGGGAGTGCCTCCAACTTCCTTGCCATGTGAGCATCTGTTTGCAGAGCTGGTCTACCCATCCAGATTCACCCAGAAGTCTATGTTCCTAAAGGAACTCACTGTGCCACTTGGTGGCACCAAAAAGTTGCGCAAAGAACTGTGTTCTCTATAAATACAAACTACCACCCCTCCCTCCTCCGCTCTCTCCCCTTCCCCCCATCCCCCCTTTCTCAGTAGCGGGGAGATTGCTGCACACGCCGCCCTCAGCTCGGCTGTTCTGAGCACGCTGAGCGGAGGGGATGAGCTTGAGATCATCTTGGGGGGGAAGCCGGGGACTGGAGAGGCCGGCTCTGCCCTGCTGATCCCCGTGGCCCAACTTTTCGGGGGGCTAGCTAGACCGAGTCTCACTGCTTGCTGCGCAGCCAACAGGGGGGTAAGCTTGCTAAGTGTCTGTGTGCCCAAGTGTCCCCTGGCCAGAGAAGGATTTAGGATCTATAGGCTTGCTGAGTAGCTCAACAGTTTGGTTTGGGGGAGGGGGACGCGGGTGGAGCAGGGGTGGCCAAAGCCGACAAGATTCAAGTCTGTTCCATTTGCGAACAGCCTTAATTAAACCTGTTGGGGAAAAAGGCGCGAGCAACGGGGTGAAGGAGGGAAGAGCTGCAAGGGTTGAAAAGGAGATTCTGCATGCCTTCGCATCCGAGTTCCCGCTCTCTAAGGCCAGGTGCGCGTGGTTTCGAATGCAGAGTGTGCTCCCGCAAACCACCCGAGGGCTCGGAATTGTGAGAAGCAAAGGTGGAGAGGAAAAGAGGACGGAGAATTGCTTTTCAATAGATCGGTTAGGGGCCGCTTCGTGGCGCCTGCTGCAGGAAGAGGGGGGACAGCGGGTGGTGCTGAAAGCACATCTCTTTCACTCAGGCTATATTGCCTCTCTTTGAACACCAGCCTGAGCCCTCCCGCTCTTTCCTCTTCCATGGATTTATCTTTCCCCTCGAACACAAAGCCTGCTAGTTATCCCACGGCGGAAGCATGAGCGGCATGCCAAGGAGGAAGCCCTGGCTACAGCGACTTAGGGAAGAAAACCCAGGGCAGGCCCATGAGTGCCGAGGCTGGCCGGTGGCCCGAGCCCAACGTGCATTAGGACCTCTCCAGGGAAGTGACAGGTCCACCTGGAGGGCTCTTTCACCTGGTACTCGAATTTACAGCTGCCCTCATTTCCTTTCAGAGGAGTTGCTGTGTGGAAAGGAAATTTAGGAGAGGATAACAAGCGCTTGTGCTTATTTAGACACAATCTTGATGCTGCCTTAGCTGGACTGTAACGTCGAGTAACCAGGGAGATAGGGTCTCCAATACTTTACTTTTTCAATAGGAAATTGATACAGACCAGTGAGAAGGCAGCTTCTCCTTTTCACCTTCTTCTCCATTCGCTACATGGTATTTTATTGTTCAGAGTTTCTCTGGACAAAGCTAGAGCTAATTTCTGTCTCTAATCCTGGGCACTGGCCGTTTGAAGCAGCCAAAGGTGCATTGACCAGGACTACGTGCAGCCCTTCCTCCAGTGGGACATAAGCAGGGGTTTTCTGTGGACGTCTTAGTTGCATGACATTCTACTGTCAGCTGTGGAGTGTTCAGGTATGCTACCTCTTGTTAGGTGTGCTTTTTGCTGTTTTCTTTATGGAGTGCAGGGAGTTTCCTCCTTTAATTTCTCAGTTACCTCAATGTAATCACACATGTAAGAATCAATTGTGGCTATTTCTGTCCTTTATGCATGTTTATTTCCATTTAAACATGCCATTGGTTTAGGACTTGAAAATACTGCGTCCTGAACTCATTGGGTTAGTAGTGTGCGTCCCATCAAATTTCCAGCCTTCTCCCCGTGAAATCTTGTCAGCACTCTGGACAGATCTTTCAAGTTTCTTATGAGAAAAATGTACATAGCACTTCCTAAATAACAGCTTCTCTTAAGAGAAAAAGCTTTCCCTACTCATTTACACTCCACATGACAAAATATACAATCTAGATATTTTAATTGCACCCCCTAGAGGTTTGTGCTATCACACGGGAATGTTTTGGTTGCGGGCTACACACTCACAAAAAGCCCAAACTCTTCAATGTTCACTTATGAAAGGATATGTCGAGATTATTTGGGAGAGGGAGTTGGTATTTGAATAATCCAAGTTCCTCACTTTACTTCCATAGGTAGACACAGGCCTTTACTATCACTTTATAGTATACCTTATGGACATGATGACAAACACCCAGGGGGAAATTGAAAAATTCACTCATATCTATTATATCCAACCAGCACAAACTATCCGGACTTTGGGAATACTTGATTAACTACATACCATTTTTAATTTTGGCTCTGATTATTAACATTGTTGTGTTTCATGTTAAAATGACTTATCTCATCAAAGGTGCTCACTTTTGTGACTAAAGCATTTTAATAATTCTGCTTTTCTTATTTCTTTCCAAAACCCATTTAATATTTTATAGGAGTCTTACTATATTGTCTTTTACAGAATGATAATTTTGGTTAGAGAAACTAAATTAAGTGTCAATAAAAGGTAGGTGGTACTACAAGTAGAAAATGTGAGATGAGGTTGATCATTAAAAATATTGTATTTATTTGTATACCAATTTTATCCCAGGTTTTCTATCCTCATGGGATGAAGACAGAGCTATAACCAAATATTTTTTTCTTATATATTCTTATTGTATTATGTATATGTACATGTGAGGTACTTTTCTGTGTATCTCGATATAGATAGATAGATCATGTATAAACCAACTTTATAAAATATTAGATACTACTTTTTATATATGTTGAGATATATATATGTTATATGATAAAGCTGATTTGGCTGGTTTAGAGGTTGGATATATTGAAGATGTATTATTACAAAGCAGGAAGATTCTGCAGTTTAGAAATACGTGTTATGTGTTATATTCATATTCAGAGAAATATTAATTCTAGTCATTTTAGTCAGTGAGTGAAGCTTAGGAGAACATAAGAAGACATGAGCATCAAAAGAAATATTTTTAGTGCAGGATGTATTTATATAACCCAAGAAAAGAAACTTCAATTTTCACTTTTGAATTTTCAATTATTTGTAAATCAGATAATATCTTGATATTCCTTTATCTTAGTTGTTTAAAATGTGTTTCTAAAAGACATTAAAGCATAGGCTTGCTTTCATTTCCTTTAAATTCATAGGAGATGAAAATCTATATTTTACCTTTCTGAATCATCTTTAAACTGTATATAACTTTTGTCAGAAGGGCCATCAGGCAAACGTCCTGGTGCAGACTCATCCCTGCTCTAATAACTACTATTTATTAAGCACATCAGGCATCATGCTAAGCAGTAGGTATGTTATTTTATTTAATTTTCATATCAACAATACAAGACATTATTTGTTTTTCCTTTTCAGTTATAAAAACTAAGTTTTTTATTCTACTGTCAAAGAACAGGGCATAGTTTATGCAGTGTTCACTGTGGGTCACTTTATTTTTATTTGTGCAATTAATTCATTATACTTATTCAATAACATGTACTGCTATAACCCATCCCCTATTTTGAAAATAAGGAAACATATATTTCATTCATATATATGTGTGTGTGTGTGTGTGTGTGTGTGTGTGTGTATATATCTTTTACCATATATGTAAAAGACAAAAATAATGGAAATACATATATATACATATGCAAAAGAGAGAGATTTGATTTGTTTGGCACTAAAATTTACCCGGTTTCCTTTGTATTGAGCTGCCTTACTCTGTGGTGTGGCTAAACACTAAACATTATGGGATTATTTTATTGTGGTTTCCAGTGAGTTGTGGTATGATTGGAAGTACAAGCTCTGGCTTCAAATTGCCTGGGTTTGAATCTCAGCTTTGTGGCTTACTACTTGTGTGACCTTAGGCAAGTTACTTAAATTTATGTACCTCAGTTTCACTATTTTCAAATTGGGGGATGGGTTATAGCAGTACATGGCATGGAGTGAATATGATGAATTAATTGCACAAATTAAAAAAAAACAATAGGTGCAGAAAACCACCATGGCACACATAGACATATGTAACAAACCTGCACATTCTGCACATGTATCCTGTTGTTTTTTAGAAGACATAAAGAGAAAAATAAATTAAAAAAATAAAGTATCTGACCCATAGTGAACAGAGCATAAACTCTCAATCCTACCCAGGCCTTTGGATGTCGAGTTTTCTGTGTTTCCTATGGTATTACATTTAATGTTTAACTGCCCTGTGGATTGTGTCTTATTTTTATTTTATGACTTTAATGATAAAACATAATACTAACATAGATTAAATAACTTGTCCAATGTCCCACAGTACAAACAAAGGTGACAAAGCAGGTATTTAAATCTAGGATCATCTGATTTCCAAACTTTTATGATACTGACCTACAGCTTACACACATATATCAATTTTTTTGAATTCTACTAATTTTGAGTCAGCAGCCCTTCCTCTACAAGGGAATATGCAAATATCTATTTTTCTCATATATTCAAGAATATTTAAAAATAAACATGCAAATGCTTGAAGATAATCAGAAATCAAAATAATACATAATTGCTATCTCAAATATCTCCTTTTTTAGTCAGACTGTAGAAGAAGTGTAAAAGAAAGACTTAGATGCAAAATATATATTTTATGTATATATGATTCTATTGGTCTTGCAAATATGTCAGATTCAAGAAAAATTCTCTAATGATTAGTTGTTCACAATAATCCTGGTTCAGGCCATGGGTTTTAAAATTTTGAGTATAAATGTTCTGAGGAAAATGAAAACTTGTAATCACAGTGATAATAGTGAGCACTTTAATAATGCAACCTTCTTACATTCATTATATTTTACAGAAGAATAATCAAAAATTTTTTTAAAAAACAATTTGTCTAAATGCATAGTAATGTAGAATTATTCAAAGACATAGAAGTAAATAATACGCTTATATCATTTGTTTAAAAATAAATAAAATTATGAAAAATCAACATGTAAATTACTTTATAAAGTTATCGTTATTGTTGTAGTCTTGTTAAAATTACAATAAACTTTGCATTTCCTATCAAAAACAGCCTTTGATTTGGGAAGTATATCGTAGGATACTCTCCTCACATTCATTTTTTGTAATTTGTGATACTTAGAACTATGCGTATTTAATGTAAGGTAATATCAACCTTGACTCTTACAGCTTAAATTTGTCTTTCTCAAATTGAAATTTCTACCTTTTCAACAAGATAATACAGACAAATAACTATGTAAACATTGAGTAGGGCAAGCCTATTTCAACCGTCTCTCCTTAGCATTATTTGGAAGTTTCAGGTAGAGAATTTGTAAGACTGATGGGTCCAGATGATTGGCTCTTAGGTATGCTCTTCTTTCGTGATTATGTCAACCTTGCCAGGATTAACTTTCATGTAAATTAGTGTTTTTCAACTGGAAGCGACTTTGACATACAGGCGACATTTGCTAATATCTGAGGACATATTCGTTTATCAGAGCTGGGAGGGGATGGCATTGTCGTCTAGTGAACAGAAGCCAGGGGTGCTGCTAAACAACCAACAGTGCGCAGACAACATCCGCCCACAACAAAAGATTATCCACTCCAAAATGTCAATAGTGCTCAGGTTGAGAAACCCTTATCTAAATGATGCTAGGAAACAGAGTTTCCTATATTTACTTGATTTGTTTGTATGCTTTCTGATGAATTTTTGTACATTACATAAGAATTTAATGGAAAGCAGAATCTCCAAAATGCTTTGCAATCAATGCATGAGGTTTGAATAACCAATTCACTTGTTTTTTGTGGGGAGACCTCATCATTTGTTTATTAAGTATGGGCTTTGGAGCCAAATATAGTTGGATTCATGTCCTGGTTCTGCCATTTGTTATAGGTTTGATACTTTGGAGAAGATTATTGACTTCTAAACTTCGATTTCTAGAGGTAGTAAGATAGGTAGTAATTATATCTACCTTACAGGGTTATTGTGAGTCTTACATTAAATAATTATTATACATTATTTAACAGAAAGAAGGCACTTTTTAAATATTATGTATTAATAAGTAAGTGGAGATCAAGTTATAGAAATGTAAAACCACAGTCTCAAGCATTTAATGATAGGTAATGTAATATATAAATAATGCTTTACAGTCTTCAGAGGTATACCCTTAATAACAAGAAATCAGCTGAAGGCTACAGGATGGGTAAAGGTCTAAAATCCCTGCTTTATAATTAAACTGAGACTAGTTAACAGTGGATTGCATCATGTTTATTGCTTTGCTGTAGAAGGCTGTTCCAGGTCTTCATAGACTGCTAAACCACTTGTTTCAATGATTTACAATGATTTAGTGAGCTCTATTGAACTGCCAGAACTTTTTAATTAATGGATAAAATTACAGATTTCATCTTTGTACAATAGTGTTTTATGGGCCTTTTTTTGTTGAGGGGGTTTCAGTTAAAATATGGCCTATACTTTGTGGGGCTAAACAGTGGGGATGCTGCATTTTCTTGTTTACAAGGTCACAAATGTGTGATTGAGATAGTAATGACAATGGAGCTTTCCTCAGACTACAGGGTTCTCTGTATCATTGCACCTCAGACTGTCTCTTATCTATGGTATGCACTTGTTTTCAGAAAAATATATCAGATGCGTTGATGGCATATGCAATATTGACACCCCTGACTGTTTGTGATGAGGCCACTGATCAGGCAGAAGAAATCATTTTACTGTTTATGTCCTGAGCTGTGTGATTTGCTTGTGTGGAGATTAAGTTATATAAGAGACATCTGTGCCAGAAAGATGGTCAGTATTTTAGAGGATTGTTGAAAATAAAGGACAATGTGAGCTGTGAATCTGACTATAGTGTAGATTGCAATTTATGGCAAAGTTTATCCATTAATATCTCTTTTTCATATTCATTTAGGATATAATATGAGAACGTGTGGTTACCTGATGTGAAATACTTTTGTATGTATTTAAAATATGTATATTGTTTTCTATAATGTGCTAGTAATTAATTTACTATGCTAAGGACCCAGAAATATAACACTGAGTAAAACATACTTCTGAAAATAGATACTTGAACTAATATACTATATAATCAAACTATTAATACATTTACCCACTTTTTAGTGAATTAAATGTCACCATATTATTAGAGTGTAGATCATAACATTTTAAAAGCTTTTTTATCATTACAAGAATTAATGCCTCCCCATTATCTATAGGATAATCCTGCCCCTTTATTTCTACTGACATATTATCCCCACCATCTAAAAGCTATAACCTAAAGCAAATAATTTATTTTACTTGACACTTTGTTTCCTAATATAAGAAATTGATGTTCTTAGACATTTCTAGAAGTATTATTTTTAGGTAGACGTGAGATCAAGAATGAAAAAGGGCTCTTTACGCTGAAAATAAAGTATTATGGTATTTTTCTTCATCTTTTCTTTTACTAGACACTTGTTAAAATAATGAATGGATCTTGTGGTGACGTTGCACAGGAGAAATCTCACCACAAGGAGAAATGGCCTTACTCAGGAACTTATATAGAAGCAAGAGAGAGTAGATCCTCACAGAAAGAATATTGGATAGTTCTCAGAATTGATGATGTTAATGAGACAGATCTTGGAGTGAAGTTGATATCATCTTTTATATTCTATATTCATCAATTGTAAACTATGAGAAACATTTATGCCAGAAATATCATCTTTAAATAATTGTGCTACAAAGATACTTTCAAAAGCAAGCAAAATGCAACATTGTTTACGATATTAAGACAAATCTATAAATAACCTTAATATCTAACAATAAGGAATAATTAAATATTGGTACACACATATAATTGAATGCCATGCAACTGATAAAATTAAATAAATGTTCTAAATGTGACTCTTGGCTCTGCTACTACCCACTTGCTTGGGAATCTGGGCCAAGCCTCTGTATCTCTCTGAGCCTCAGTTCTTTTCTCTGTAAAATGTGCATACATAACTTATTTTACAGTTTGTATGACAACTAAATGTCATTTCATGTGAGATACTTAGCAAAGTGAACAACACATGATATGCCCTCTGTATATTTTAATTGTTGTTATAATTGTCCGCATCATCCAAATGAACTGATATGAAAGATATTTATATTATACAAGGAAAATAAAAATATATTATGAGAGAGATTTCATATTAAAATTTTATTTAAATAAAAAAATAAAATATTATAAGCTTAGAAAATTGTATAAGAGCTGATACCAAGTTGTAAACTATGATTAAAATTGTGTTTTGAGTGACATTTTGTTGAATTCAAGTCCCAGGTCTGCTATGAATCATTTGCTTTCCATGGATCTCAGTTAAATGGAATCATCTCCAGGGCCCTCTCTAGTTTTATGATGCTATTTTCCTTAAACATCCTACAATATTAGCTTGGTAATGAATACTATAAGAAAGTATAAATAAAAAACTGCCATGTGAGCTTGGAGGATAGAGCAAACACTGCCAGGTGAGGGATATGGTAATAATTTAGGAAGGGACTATTTTTAAATATTAGCTCATTCAGTACTCACTAAAACTCTTTGGGGTAGGTACTGCTGTCACTCCAGTTGCCAATAAAGGCTTGAGGCTCAGAGAGGCTAAATGCCTAAGGACACACCGCCAATCAATGGCTGTGTCAGGATTCCAATTCAGGTCATTGGACTCCAAGCCCATGCTCTTAACAACTCTGCCATGAAGACCATTGGAACAACTGCATATCAGGGATCAGAAGCAGCATGTGCAAAGCCATTGGAATAAAACAGTGTATACTTGGACAAGAGCCTAACGACTAATAGGCTCCCAAGGAGGAATGGATGGAGGGAGATAAGGTCTCAAGGGAGAAAGCTGCAGAAATTTAGAAAGCATATCCCTCAGTTCCAAATTAAAAATAATAATGAATAGTAAATATGTTGTATTACTATATTTATAAATTTAGAAAACACAGATGAAGACAAGAAATAAAATCAAAAGTACTATATTTTTACTATCCAGAGAACACTCTATTAATGTCAATGTATATGTTTCCAGTCTTTATGTATGCATACATACCCATCCATAATATTTCTTGAGAAAATCAAAGCATACCATCCCTTTATTTCTGCATGATACAACATGAATACTTCACATTTTACTGCTTCTCTCTCCTCACTTCACAAAAGGAAGTTTCTATTCAAAAAATCGTTCAGTCTCCTTTGCTGATTATTCCTTACCATTGAACCTTGGAATTCCCTGGGGCACAATCTCTGGCACTAGTTTCTTTTCTCTTTTCACTTCCTCAGTGATTTAATCCAGTTTCACGGCTTACAAAAAGGACTTCTGTATACTCACACCTTCCTCATTTTATCTCCTGTTCAGACCTCTCTTCAGAATTCAGCCCCTTACATCCGCCTGCTCATTCAATGATCTCTTCTTGAGTTTCTAGTATGTGCAACTTGATATATCAAAATTGAACTTATGTTGTTTTGTTGTTTCTATCCATGTCTTTGCCGCAGCATTCTCCACCACAGCCGATGCGACTCCATCCTTTTTGTGTTCGGGCTGAAAATCTTGGCGTCCTCATTGATTTTTCTCTTTCTCCAACATCCCAAGTCAGCTCTAATAGCCAATTTGTTCACTCTACCTTCAAAATATATTCAGAATCCCAGCAGTTCTCACCACTTGTGCTTACCGTATCTCCAATCCAACCACTATCATCTCTCTCACCTAAGTTAGTGCAAATTTCCTAATTGCTCCTCATTTTCTGCCTTCGTGCCCTTATTCTTGTTAAAATTTTAGGTAGAATGTGTTCCTCCTCTGTTGGAATCCTCTCAGAAAAACGTTCTCATGAAATGTTAAAGCCAAAGCCTTTTAAAGTCCAAACAGGCTCAACATCACCACATTACCTCTTGTTCTCCATGTCTTCCTTTCTCTGCATTTTAACTTTTCTACAGCCTCAAGAGCCTGTTTGCTACTCCTCAGCACACTAAACATTAAATCTGTCTTAGGGGCTTTGTATTTGTTTTATCCTTTACCTGGAATGTTGTTTTTCTAGAGATCTGTATGACTCTGTATTCCTTTAATTCTTTAATCCTTTCAATTCTTTTAGCTATTTACTCAAATGTTATTTTTTCAGTTTATGTTCCTTTGGCCACATTACTCAAACTTTCCTATATCTCTGGCACTTTCTATACTGCTTCACTGCATTTTGTTTTTTTGCTTGTAGACACTCACCACCATGTAGCACACAATATTTTACATATTTATTTTGTTTCTTGTCTGGCAAACCCTCTTCGAGTATAGGCTCCATAATGATGTGACTTTATATCTATTTTGTCCATAACTGGATCCTTGGGGCATAGAAGGGTGTGTTATTCAACAAACATTTATAGAAAACACATGAGTGATGCTGATAGATTTGATGTATTCCTTTCAGGTCTATTTGGAATTTATACTCTATGAATTTCTTGTATTTTGATTGCACATAAGATGACTTTCTATTTAGCCTTACAATAATCTGAGTAATAGCACAGTTCTTTCGCATTCCTATGTCATATTTTTTTAAAGTATATTCCAGGTATCTAAGTTCATAGCTAATTATGAAGCATAATCTGATGAGCCATAATTTGGGGTGGATATCCAGGCAATGTAAATACACTTGTACTAGATAACCTACACACTGTACCTTCTGTGTCTCTATGAGCTGAATCATCTTTTCCCTGGAATGCTCTTTACTGTATAGTTTGAAAGGCGACTCCTGTAAGATTCTATATCTCTTGGATGTTCAAATTGTGTCTGGGTGGCCCTTCTTGTTTTCATGGACATTAGCAGTATCTTTCATTTTTTTTGGTAGGAAGGGGCTGTGAGGCAGCAAGGAATAGTTAAAACAATGTGTTATAAAGTCAACAGGCATAGACATAAATTCTAGCTCCATTATTTTCTAAGTGATCAGCTAGTTTTTAACTTATCAAAACCCATTACATCATTTGTAAAATGAAGGTAATAAAATAATACAGTTCAAACATCCCAAATTCAAAAATTAAAAATCTGAAATGCTCCAAAATTGCAGCATATTTGAGTACCCATTTGACACTCAAAGGAAATTCTTATTGGAATATTTCCAATTTCACATTTTAGGATTTGGAACGCTCAAGAAGTAAGTAAGTATAATGTAACTTTTCCAAAATCTGAAAGATTCTGAATCTGAATTTTGGTCCTAAGCATTTTGTGTAGGGATTGTTCAACCTGTACCTATATTTTAGGGTTGTTATAAGGATTCTTGGTATACATATGCCACACATACGGACACACTCAAAGACATAGCCATTGTGTCAGAAATCTTCAGTGTATAGAATGTACATGGAATATAGTATCTTCCATGGGAATCAGATACGTTTTTCTCCGAAATATATAAGCCTTGCATATGTCTTTAAAAATAAAGTACCTAAAACATTCCTTTTTGCCCTCTATGACATCATTTACTCTCACTTTATCTTCTTACTTTTTGGGTTGACTCCTTTTCATAGCTGGCTTTTCCCAAATCTGGCCCCTCAGCAGAGCTTATTTTTTAGCTGCACCTTTGCAATATTTATACTTCCTCTCCAGGCGATTTCATGCATTCTAAATATTTTATATATTGATGATCCTCAATTTGCATGTCTAAACCAAAACTCTCCCCTGAGTCCAACCTTACATATTCACTTTCCTGTTTGACATCTTTACCTGGATGCCTCCAAGGCATCTCAAATTTTGCATTTTCAAAAGAAGATCATTAATTTTCTTCTGCCCCTCACGTGTTTATGTGCTAGTCTATCCTATCTGTATTAATGCTGTCAAAATGCACTAGGCTCTCAAACTAGAAGCTAGGAGTAGACCCTGATTCCTCTCTCTACCTTACTACTCACATCTAGTCTATCAGCAAGTACAGTTGATTCAACTTGGAAAATATATCTGACTGTGACCACTTTTCTCCATATCTACTGTCACCAGTCATAGAGAAGTCACCATCATTTCTTGCTAGATTTTTACAGGTTTCTTTATAAGATTTCTTCAATTGATTATCCAGGAAAATGAGCAGCCAGAATAATCCTTTCTAAGATTGAATTGTTTCAGTCATTTGCTTAAATCTCCTCAATGGCTTTCTGTTGTAATTAACATTATTATTATTATTTTTTTTCTTGAGACGGAGTCTCACTCTCTCACCCAGGCTGGAGTGCAGTGGCACAATCTTGGCTCACTGCATCCTCCTCCTCCCAGGTTCAAGTGATTCTCCTGCCTCAGCCTCCTGAGTAGCTGGGATTATAGGCGTGCACCACAACATCCAGCTAATTTTTCTGTTTTTGGTAGAGACGGGGTTTCACCATGTTGTTCAGGCTGGTCTTGAAAGCCTGACCTCAAGTGAACTGCCCGCCTCGGCCTCCCAAAGTGCTGGGATTACAGGCGTGAGCCACCGCGCCTGGCCAACATTAAAATATTTTTATAAGAGCCTACAATGTCCTACATGGCCTGGACCTTTATTGCCTTTCCATCTTCATCTTGTATCATCATGCCTCCCATGTTCTTCATGTTGTAGACATATTTTTTATGTGACTGCCTTTTTTTCATTCTTCTGTATATTTTTCTTTTTCTTTTTTTTGAGACGGAGTCTTTCTCTGCCGCCCAGGCTGGAGTGCAGTGGCACGATCTCTGCTCACTGCAAGCTCCGCCTCTCGGGTTCACGCCATTCTCCTGCTTCAGCCTCCCGAGTAGCTGGGACTATCTTTTCTTTTTTTAACTTTAATTTTAAGTCTTTAAAATTAAAAATTCAGGGGCACATGTGCAGGTTTGTTACATAAACTTGTGTCATGGGAATTTGTTGTACGTATTATTTCATCACCCATGTATGAAATCAAGTATCCACCAGTTATTTTTCCTGATCCTCTGTCTCCTCCCACCCTCCAGTAGGCCCCAGAGTATGTCGTTCCCCACTATGTATACATGTGTTCTCATCATTCACCTCTGATTTACATGTGAGAACGTGCAGTATTTGGTTTTCTGTCCCTGTGTTAACTTGCTAAGGTTAATGGCCTCCAGCTCCATCCATGCCCATGCAGAAGACATGATCTCATTTTTTATGGCTGTATAGTATTCCATGGTGTATATGTACCACATTTTCTTTATCCAGTCTATCACTGATGGGCATTTAGGTTGATTTTATGTTTTTGCTATTGTGAGTAATGTTGCAATGAACATATGTGTGCATGTGTCTTTATAATGGAATGATTTGTATTCCTTTGGGTATATAGCCAGTAATGGGATTGCAGGGTTGAATAGAATTTCTCCAGTGGGAGTATAAATTAGTTCAATCATTGTGGAAGTCAGCGTGGTGATTCCTCAAAGACCTAAAGACAGAAATACCATTTGATCTTTATTTTTCTTTGTATTCACCATGTTTCAGCTAAAGTTACCCTTTAGAATACCAATATGTAAGGCCCACAAGTATAGGGAGCTTGTATATTTTGCTCATGCTTGAATATTCAATGCCCAGGACAGAATTATAGCATATACATACCATAAATATTTGTTAAGTGAGTTAATGAATAGATGGGGCATGTTAGGTGCTCAATGAAAGATCATAATGATACTTACCAATGTATATTATTACAGTTCTTTGATACATTAGTCTCTTTCACTGAATAGTTAATAATTTTTTGTTAAATAAGTAACAAACTTCGCATAACTTCAAAAGGCAATATCTTAGTGTTTTAATATGTATACTGTATCTCAATATGTAGAGGTTTCATAGAACAACTTAAATGAATAAAATGAATGGGATTGATATTTCAGCCACACGAGCCTGACAGGACACCAGGTCTCTCATATCACTTTGATATTCTTACATAAAAAATGAGTCGTGTTTTGTTATTTGTTCACCCGCTAACATTCTTATTTAATAAGAAATTGTGCTTTCTTTAACTTTAGATATTTCTTTTTGTCTGCAGCAGAATTCACATGACCATGAGAATAATTATTTTAGGTCTTGGGTCTAAGGAAAGTGAAAGAAAGATTTGGTAATATTCAAATGACTTGCCAATGAAAAATCTAACAGTCTTCATTTCTTCCTCTGTATCTACAATGCCAACTTTCGTACCAAAACTAGTTTTTTCTATATATTCACAAATGTCCAGTTATTCTGGAACATCTGGTTATTTGATGAAATATTAAAAAGTTTAGCTTTTGTCACTGTACATAGGAAGACTTTCTCTGTTGCCATAGGAAACAGTAGAAGGAAATAGTGAAAATGATGGTAGGAGTGATTAGATACATGATTCAAGTTACATTCATTTTGTGTCTGGACTTAACTTTTTGTAGATTTGATGACCTTTGAAACCATTAGTATTCTTGTAAAAGTGCGATATTTACATACATTCCTGAAGAAACATCACCTGTTTTTGAAAGTCGGTGCTTAGAAAGTTAGTCACTTTAAAATAATTTGAGATCCTTGGCTGGCAGAGTTGATAACAAAATAAGTCTCTTACACAATTCCCCTAAGTGATCAAATCACTAATTTGTCCGTTCTCTTTTACAAATTATGCTAGAATTTGCCATGGAAAATTTGGGACAACATTTCTTTCTTCCCAGGAATTTAAATTGAAATAGATGATGACATTCATAGCTATACTAAATTTCTACCTGGCAGAATAGTTCCAAACATACATCCTTTTAGCCTTTGAGCCTTAGTGATGTGGAATTTTTTTCTGGATCAGGGCTAGAGGACTGATTACTGTGAATTGTATTGCAAGACTCTGTACAGTTTATTTAACATGAAACACCCACCTTTCTTCATTTGTTTTTGTTATGTCATCCACATTAATTAGACAATACTTATTTATTCCTGAGAAGATTATTCAACTTGCTTGACATTGTATTTGGAGAGAGGATATGTGGGGTATTTTTGAAAAGATAATTTTATTTTTGTAATTGCATAATTAATTACATGCTCAAGGCTAAAGATTTCAAAAGGAAAGCCTAATGAAAATTTAACAACAGTTATCCACACTTTCATTACCAAGAGATCACCAATGTTTAATATTCTGGGGTGCATACTTCTTGAAGTTTTCTGTTCATGGCGTAGTTTTGCTTCTAGGATGCTCTGTCATCTCTGCCTGAGAGTACAATACAGTTCTGCCCGCCACACACAAGATTTGGTTTTATGTAGTGCAGGTGAACAAAAAAATACTATTAATCTAAGCAAGGCAGGGTCAAGAAGCTACATCAGCTGCTTCATCAAATCACAAAGGAAGCAGACAAAGGAAAGTCAGAAACGTTTTTGAATTATTTTTTCTTTGTTATCTGCATCATCAAAATGTTTTCTCTGCTATAATGGATTATAGAACTTCCCCAAACTAGTTGCATTTATGTTTGTTAAAGACCCATGTTATTTTTTTTTTCAGGTTTAGAAGATCATGACCACATGGATCATCTAACTAAATGGTACATGGGGACACAATGGTCCTTTAGAGAATACATCTGAATTGCTGGCTAATTTCTTGATTTGCCACTCAACGCAGGACATCGCTTGTTCGTAGCTATCAGAACCCTCCTGAATTTTCCCCACCATGCTATCTTTATTAGCTGGAACTCCTGTCCTAAAACGGTCCTTCTGTTGATCCTGTCAGTCTTACTTTTGAAAGAAGATGTCCGTGGGAGTGCACAGTCCAGTGAGAGGAGGGTGGTGGCTCACATGCTGGGTGACATCATTATTGGAGCTCTCTTTTCTGTTCATCACCAGCCTACTGTGGACGAAGTTCATGAGAGGAAGTGTGGGGCAGTCCGTGAACAGTATGGCATTCAGAGAGTGGAGGCCATGCTGCATACCCTGGAAAGGATCAATTCAGACCCCACACTCTTGCCCAACATCACACTGGGCTGTGAGATAAGGGATTCCTGCTGGCATTCGGCTGTGGCCCTAGAGCAGAGCATTGAGTTCATAAGAGATTCCCTCATTTCTTCGGAAGAGGAAGAGGGCTTGGTGTGCTCTGTGGATGGCTCCTCCTCTTCCTTCTGCTCCAAGAAGCCCATAGTAGGGGTCATTGGGCCTGGTTCCAGTTCTGTAGCCATTCAGGTCCAGAATTTGCTCCAGCTTTTCAACATACCTCAGATTGCTTACTCAGCAACCATCATGGATCTGAGTGACAAGACTCTGTTCAAATATTTCATGAGGGTTGTGCCTTCAGATGCTCAGCAGGCAAGGTCCATGGTGGACATAGTGAAGAGGTACAACTGGACCTATGTATCAGCCGTACACACAGAAGGTGAGTTTCCCTTGCATACATCGAGTATATATTATTATGCACTCAACAGTTAAAATTTCAGGTTTGGGAAGAGTAAACTTTTCCTAATTATTTTGGATACTTTGAATTGTCCCAGTTATACCAGTACTATAAGAACAGACTGGATGGCATATATCTAGAGAGACATAGACTTAAACTACAGAAGGGTGTATGTGGCCAATATTTGGTGAAATATAATTTTGTTTTAATTGTGAATTACATTATTTACTTCTGCTATACTGATGCTATATTATACTTCTGCTATAATGATTTTTTATATTCATTACTAGAGGTTTTTAAGTCTCTGTATCTTCATTGAACACCTCACATTTTTGTCATTTCACGATTGTTCTAGGTGCCTATTGTTTCTAATAGTGAAAGCAAAGTACACATAAATACATAGGACTGAAGGTAGTAGCCAGTTCTAACCCAGGTGTGTTGTTATAGAGAATTACCAAAAAGTTTAGTCTTACAGCTATTTTTTCAGAAGAATTCATGGTCAAATCCAAAATGGAGATAAGAATAAATTAATTTTATCCTTGTACAGAACATATTTGAGAAGTATAATTTTAAATAATTCAACGTTTGCTTTAAAATTTATTGCTTCTTTGTGCTCCAAGAGTAGTGAGGAAAGAAAAATCTGACTGATGTTTTATAGTAGTGAATAATAAGTAGCCCTTTGTTTTTTATGGTGTTTTAAAAATCATTAGTTCTTGACCATGGCTGTTTGGAAAAAATTTGTTTTGACCTACAGAGGTTGTGACCCAAATGGGCAGACTCACTTGTTATGCAGCTCTTCTTCTAGAAAAACAAAATGTGTATATTAAACACTATAGAATACTGAAGAAGATACAAAATACTTTTTATAAATCATCAGATTATTGTATTTGTGGAGATTCTTAAAATTCTGCATTAACATATCAATATAGTCCAAATATTTTGGTCTGGTAAAATGTGGAATTAAGTTACTAACCCCACTTCAGAGGTTAGGAATATATTTATGCAACACATATTATGCACAAATACATACGCAAGGCTCTCTGACCGTCCTGTGAATGATAGCCCTTTGTTTTCTATATCACAGACTTCAGTGGGATTGCAATCTGGCAAAGGAGATGAGGCATGCACAAATACCTATATAATCATAATTCAAAATGACACAATGTTACAAATCTGACTCTAAAGGAAATTGATGGAGAAAAAAATCACCTCCTCCTCTGTGTTTACGGGGATCATGGTGGGAATCTTACAGAAGGAAATGGAATTTGACAATTGAAATTTAACAATAAAAATACTGACGGTGAAAATTAGCAGGGATGGCTTTCAGTGAAAAGCATAAGAAAATATGACTAGGTGAGAAAGTAAAAATGTGTCTGAAAAGGCCAATTATAAAGGTATGTTTTGGTTTGCTTCAAATAAATCATGCATTTTATCAGGGACTCCCTTCTAGCTTCAGAAGATCAGGGCTTGGTCACGGTGTGGCAAATGCTAAATCAATTGTGCCCCAAGGGAAACTCTTAGTGACGACCTTTGGCTTTTACTACTTTAAACTGTTGTTTTATCCTGAATTTACCCCAATAGCAATCTAATAACCTCATAAAATAAGTTATGATGCATTCAAACAATGCATTATCATTTAGCTATTAAAATAAATGAGACATTCTATTAGGTAATGATTACAATTTCCAAGATCATCTTAGGTGAAAAAAACAAGGGGCATTTCCGTATATATAACATTTTATTTTTTCTAAAAGGCGTTTTTATACAAACAATTTGATTGGATATTCATAGAATTGTTCTCAGAGAAGAGCAAAACTACTAAAAGTTGCTGCTTCTGAGAAGAAATCTAAGTTAAGAAATGAGGTGGAATATTTTATGCATAATTTTTATATACATACACTTTAAGCTCTATATTAAATACATAATTTACCTACTGAAATATAACAATTACATGAAAACATTCTATTTGTGGGCAAACAAAAGACAATAGAAATTGCAATGCCAAATTCAGGCAAAATATTTAGGTTGTACCACCAGGATTCAGGAGAGAACAAACCTTGGAATTGGACATTCAAAAGTTGGAAGAAATACTCCTTTGCTTACTGTTTATGTGGTTGTGTCAAGAAATATTTATCTTGCTTTGATCCCAAGCAAGTAGGTGGATAACGAGGTTATGTAGTGTTAAGTCTTATGATTTATCAGTACAAGAATGGCATTGTAGGAATTTTCACAAGGTGAAACTCACCTCCAGGATCAGAAAAGTGAGAGTCAAACAGGATACAGCTTTGTTGGGTACTGTGGGAACTCTCTAAGGTCATGCTTTTTTTTTTTTTTTCCGCTTGGTTTTTCAGAAAGTCTTGGTGGGATCTTCCATGAAATGATAGTGTCTGTTATCATCCAGTCTCTTTCTCTCACTGGCTTGAGGTGATTTTCTCTAGCATTAGGAGAATTAATCCCAGTACTTGATAATTTATCTTCATATTCTTATAATTATTCTCCTTTGTTCCATCAATATTCTCTTTCTTGAAGAGTATGGAAATTTCCAAATGCTTTCACATGAACCATCAAGGTCTGTGGTCCTATTTTCAAAAAAACGTTTTTTCTCCTAATTGCCTATGTATTTTATACTTAAACCTAACCACACTGTGTCACGGGTACCACAAGATGTTCCTTCAAGAAAGCGTATGTCATCACAGAATTCCAGAGGAGTGTACAAGGAAAACTGGGTTTCAGCTTCGATGTTAATCTCTTACACTTGCTATTTCCTGTGATTTATGGCTTTAGCAGTCTGTGTGACTGGGTATTTACTGTGGCTTGTTCTATTACACAGAAATTATGCCTAGAACTTGTAGCCAAAGAGATTCATAGTATAAAACAGAAGAAGAAAAAAAAAAGAAAGCATTTTTTAAAGAGCAGATCAAACTAGCTCTTCAACTGGGTAGAGGAAAGGAATATGCAATGACTCAGAAGAAAAGTAAAATCACTTCTTTTAATGGAGTCAGAACTCTCTCTGCACTAAGGAAATGTAAAGGGTCCTTTGCCTTAGTACTTTTGCAAACCTTGATACATGTGCCCACGATGACACAGGATTGATGGTGTTTGCCCATTTAGCAATGTGGCAGATTGCATTGATGACTTCTACTACTGGCGCCTCTGTATTCACATCATTTGCTTTTGACTTGATAATTCCCTTTTACTTTCATGTAGCACTGGCCTTCTGACACTTTGACCAATAGCACTTGGTTGATGTGAGAACTTTCTTCCTAGTTTGTGTTGGAACCCTATTGTTATCCTGTGAAGTATGAGAGCACCCAGGTTTTCCAAATGAGTGCATCTTAGACCAGTTGACCTCAAACATGTGAGAGCGTGCAATGCAGATCAACAAAATTGCCTTTCCAACCCACAGCTAATTGCAATCACATAATTGAGCCCAGCTGAAACCCTCAACATTACCCAGCTGACTATTATTGTGAGCAATTAAAAATGCCATCAGGATGGAGTCCAGTATAAACATACTCATCCCTCTCACTTTAGTCTCTAACTTCCCTCCTCCCAAATAAGATACTACTGCTTAAACTTCAAAAGCAAAAAAATAAATTAACATGCATTAATATTCTTGAAATTTGAATATGAAATAAAATAGAATATATACTGTGGACAAGAAGAAATATTTAAAATGCTTTGCCTATGCTTCTGTGGCTAGAGATGTGATAGTTCCCTTAAAGTCTGAATGTTTCAAATAGTTAAGCACTTGAATATATTTCATTATTATATTCTTTACCTTGATCTAGTTCAACTTCATTGAGAAAAGTAATTATTGCATTGTGTTTTATACAAAAAAAATTTTATATTGTACTTTCTGGGTGATTGACAAGATTTCACACTTCACTAGTTTTCCTGACTTTAGTTGAAAATCTACAGTATATCCACAGGGCCTATTAGAGTGCCCATCATATAGTATGTGCTCAAAGACTATTTGCTGAATAGAGGAATTTGTGTTAGTAAAGTAGGTAGCTCACTATTTATGACTATAGTATGTGGATAAATAGCAGGCACTTGTAAGTTTTCAGTTTTGCTTCTTTATAAAAATGAGGTGTCAAAATGACTCCCTTGATTAATTGTAAAATCCTGTTCATGCTACACTTCATTTTTTGTTTTCACTGTTTCTTGAATTTATTATTTCTGTCTAATGACAGGAATGTTAATTTGTTACAGCAAAAAACAAATCAGTGATGTTCTGAGGAGAAAAATGTACCAATAAATTGTACTGGTAGCATACATTATTAAAAATATGGTCTTCAGGTTAACCTAGAGATTGCAATTTCAGGTTATAATATGACTTCCCATCAGTTATTTACTTAAAAATGTGATAACAATCCAGCTTTGATTGAAGGACCTTCAGTATGATTCATAGTCTATATGCTTGTATGACTTCTAAAAAGTGCACTTTTACCATCTCAGCATTTCTACTAATTATCATTATACAAGACAATTTAGCTTGGAAAAATAATAGTCTATATGCTTGTATGACTTCTAAAAAGTACACTTTTACCATCTCAGCATTTCTACTAATTATCATTATACAAGACAATTTAGCTTGGAAAAATAATAAATGGCACTGTGGAAGCTACTGAATAATTTTTAAAAGGACTTTATTTTGTTTCCCCAGGAATTGAATAGTGCTGAGAGTTAAAACAAATTTTGGGATGATCATGGTAATAATAAAGACACATAAAGTACTATTCCTTCCATAGAATGTGAACACTGTGTCTCAGGCCAGCATTTAATCTTCTGTATTTTACGGTTAAGGAAACTAAAATAGAAAGGTCACATAACTCTACCTTGCTTGTCAGATAATTAGTTGCAGAGTTGTGTCTTGGAACTCAAGATTTCTGTCCAGAACTTGGTTTCCAAAACATTGCTGGAGATTATTAGTCAGATTCCTTTTTGCCATTTTTCTACCCCTCCATTGCATTGTTTTATTCGCTCTCCCTTTATCTCAATGGCACCAATATTTCTAAACAATTGGCTGAAAGTGTTAATAACTATCTGAAATAGTAGAAGGGACCACAAATGAAATAATTCATCTAAAAATTAGCCTAGACAGGAGAATTGCTTGAACCTGGGAGGTGGAGGTTGCAGTGAGCCAAGATCACGCCATTGCACTCCAGCCTGGGTGACAAAAGCAAAACTGTCTCGAAAAATAAAAATAAAAATTAGCCTTGAGAAATAGCATGATCAATTTGCTCTTGATCTGTAAATTAGATGAAGTGCTCCTTTTCCTGGGTCATATCAAAGGTTTGCGGAAGCTCTGAAAGATTTTCCTTTGCTCCACAAAAATTCTGAAAACATGAGATCCCCAGAAATCTTTGAAATTATGGATTGATTGTATAATTATATTAGTTACCACTGACTTAACAATATATACAATTTAGAAGATGCAGAAACTTTTAGGGGAATTCTTTAGTAAGTTGGATCATGGATCCGTAATCTGGGAAACACAGTGGGCAACTCTAATTGTAAAGAAACAGTTTTTCATATTCATATATCACTGTCAGAAACTTCATTGCTAACAGTGAAAAAAATACAGATAGCTCTGGAAGGAGTGTTTAGAGGGGCATTCCCTCCTCTTCCCTTTCCAGAAGGAACAGCCTATGGACTCAGTAAATAATTTCTAAGAGAGTTATTATTGCCTCTTTCAGAGAAAAATATAGAGCTTGCTGACATATCCACATGTGGTTTGGGCAGTGTTTCTTCTATATTCAGATTCATTTCTGATGATACAATTTCTGGCTTAGACTCTGGCTCACCTATAAGAGACTAATGCCTGGGATAGCATCCCACCTTCCTCTCTCTTAGGCACCATTGCTGTCATCAATTGCTGAAAATACTAGAAAACGCCCACAAATACTCCATGTCCAGGATGACTAAGCTGAGTTAAAAGGAATTTTGTTTTCAGCGGATTTCACTGCACTGCTCCCCCATAATGCACAAATATCTCTGGTGATGTGCAATTGTGGACACTTCCACAGTTCTAAATAATCAGATGCTTACCTAAATGTGAAGATCATCTCTTAGGATGTAGCCTATCAGGTATTCAGTATTTACCCTTCTTATGGATGGCAGCCGCACACATGCATGTTTTCCCTTGGTCACTCTTATTCCAGATGTCATTAAAACCTTTTAGCTTCTAGGTTTATAGTGTTCAGCCACTTCTGTTGAAGTTGCTTCTGCATAAGGAACCCTGGGGAATGAGAGGGCATGCTGTGAGATGTTTATGTTCCAATGTACAGCTTGAAACACATAAAACACAGAATGAAAAGCAAATTATGCACAGTAAATTCTGCCCAACATAAACTAAGCAAGCATATAAGAGAAAGCAAGAATAGAGATCCTCAAAACTCTCGAGGGAGTATCTTGAGAATTTTTTTTCTTCCTTCCCTCCTCCTTTTCTTCCATCCTCCTTCTCTTTCCTTCCTTCCTTCCTTTATAACTTCTTACCTTCCTATCCTCCTTCCCTTTTCTTTGTCTCTCTCCCTTTCTCTCTCTCTTTTTTTATTCTTTGAGACAGGGTCTCTCTCTATTGCCCAGGCTGAAGAAGAGTGGCATGGTCATAGATCACTGCAGTCTCAAACTCTTTGTCTCAAATGATCCTCCTGGTTCAGCCTCCCAAGTATCTGGGACTACAAGCACATGTGACCACGTGTGAATAATTTTTATTTTTTAATTTTTTGTAGAGATGAGGCCTTATTGTGTTTCTCAGGCTGGTCTCAAACTCCCACCTGCCTTGGCCTCCTGAAGTGCTGGAATTACAGGTGTGAGCTACCACAATCGACATTGTCTTTCTTTCTTATTTATCATTTTTCCTCATCTCTTTTTAACTGGAAGTGTTTTTGTTTTGTTTTGTTTTGTTTTTGTTTTTGCAGGCTCTTCTGTCAGTCTCGTCATTATCCTGTTAATTTGATAGTGAACAGATAAAATATGAAGATTACATTAATACTATCTTGGAGTTGGAAAAATAAGTTAAAATGACTAACTGTGCTAAAAGTAAGATAACTGACATGAGAACTAAGGATTTTACTCTGTGACTCCAAGAAAGTCACTTCAACTCCTTGCATCTTTTTTTTTTATATACAAACAGGCACTGCAAATAATGTTCATACAGATTTCTTCCAAGACTAAGTTTCTGTGACTTGCTATGATCAAACTTCTGCAGACTACAGCTGGGCTACATTAAATGTTGGACATAGGGTGGGCAACATAATAAGGCTCTGTCTCTACAAAAAGTAAAAAAAAAAAAAAAAAAAAAAAGAAAAAGAAAAATTAGCTAGACATGGTGGTGTGCACCCAGCTCCTTGGGAGACTGTGGCAGAGGATCACTTGAGGACAAGAGGTTGAGGCTGAAGTGAGCGAAGTTTGCACCACTGCACTCAGCCTGGGTGACAGGGCAAGACCAATATCAAATGCAGCCAAGCAGGGCCTGTTCAAAGGAGAGTAGCCCAAATGGTTATGCAATTTGAAATCATATCCTCAGAGAATAAATTTAGTAGAGAGAAGACAAGACACAGCAGGGCCCTGACTGCTACCTTTAGGTATCTGATATATTTACATATTTTGTTTATTTAGATATTTGTAAATTCAGGTGGAAAAGAGCTAGGTTCACTCTGTATGGCCAGCAGTTGGCAGAGACAGCTAATTACTAAAATACAAGAGTAACAAAGTATGGTTTAATTAAAAAAATTTTTTTGTTGTTTATTAGCAGAACTGTTCAATAAAGGAATTGCCTCTCTTAGGAGGTAGTGAGTTAGTTCTCTGTAACTCCTTGTGCACAAACCTGGAATGGACAATCACTTGGAGGACTCTGGAAAAATGGACTTAAACCTCAGTTGAGGAAAGAACGATGTTGGACTATTTGTTCTTCTGATAATTCCCAATGTTGACAATCAGTTGCCATTGGGATCTTACTACTTTGTGAGTTGAAACATAATCACTTTATATATATATATATTTTTTTATTTTGAAATGGAGTCTCAATTTGTCACCCAGGCTGGAGTGCAGTGGTGCGATCTTGGCTCACTGCAACCTCCACCTCCCAGGTTCAAGCAATTCTCCTGCCTGAGTCTCCCAAGTAGCTGGGATTACAGGTGCGTGCCACCATGCCCAGCTAATTTTTTTGTATTTTCAGTAGAGAGGGGGTTTCACCATGTTAGTCAGGGTGTTCTTGATCTCCTGACCTCATGATCTGCCTGCCTTGGACTTCCAAAGTGCTGGGATTACAGACGTGAGCCACTGCACCCGGCCACATATAATATATTTTAAATTTGGTTAGTTTGTTTATTTCATAACACAGTCTGATAAAGTAACCATTTTAGTAGAATGGACAAGGAAAGAGTGATTTTTTTTCTGCAGCTAAAGTTAGTGGCAGAGTAAGGATTTAGATCCAAAGCCAACTCCTTTGAAACAAATCTAAATCTCATTCCTTTACATTGGAGTAGGTGTGGCTCCAAGGAAAAGTAGAATGGACATCACCTGGTTCTTTTTCCTTCCCTGGGAAACAAAAAACCCTATTTGTTTCTCCACTGAGAGTATCTTTTGAGCATATTTTTGTGTCTTTTCATCTAGCTTTGAAAGCAGCACCTTTCCTTGTTCCCATGGAATGGGTTAATTATAGTGAAAAGAAAACAAATTAAGGAGGGGGCCTGTGGTAACAAGTTGACCTCAACGAAGACCTCTTCGTGAGTCTGATGAAAAGCACAGACTGTGCTTGGTTGTTTCTATTTACATCTCCATCACAGGCTCCACACTCTGTCCTTCAGATGCCAATAATAGCAGGAAGCAATATGGTACAGAATTTTTTAAGAGCTGGAGGATATATTGTTAAATAATGTAGCCTTATATATGAAAGGCAATTCTTTGGAATTCATCAGGGTTGTGGGTTATGAAATCTCATTTTGGCACATTTGCAAATACTCCAGAAAGATTTATCAAACATTCACATGTTGAATTGAGGAGATGTTTTGGCAAGAGGTGTAATAGTCAAATACATTTATTTTAGGGGACTTTGTAAAGTGACTGCAGCCCAATGTTACATTTACACATTGATTTTCACACACACACACACACACACACACACAATGAGATTCTAAAGAAAGAGATTATCTAGTCCGTGTTTTTCTTTTTTTTTAAATAGTGGATAACTCATAAGTTATTTGTAAAACCAATTTAGAGGGTTGAAATCAGAATTTAATAGAGAATACATTAAAATAGACTAGAGTAAAATGTAAATATCAACATGTATTACATCATAGGTTAGATATTTTGTAAATTTCACTTTAGTTACACATAGCCATAAATAGCCTGTGGGTTATCATTTAAAATATATTTCTTCTGTGTCTTGCAGCTAAAAAATTAAAAGTTTAAAAGTGACTTACTCTACTTCTCTTTTTCACTTTGTTCCTAAATACTTTTCTAGAGAAATGTAACCAATACACATGAATTTATTCTTCTGTGACAATGTCATTTAATTTATATTTTCTGGAGTGATGGGTTTATGTCTTATTTAAAACAAGCAAAAATTTCAAGGCACCCATGGTAGGAAATGATAGAAGCATCGAACAACTATCTCTTAGGGCAGGTATTTTTATCTCAATTTGATAATAAGGAAATTAAATTTTCTTGTCCAAAGTCCCTCAACTAGCAAGACTATTAATCAGTATTTGTACTCAAATTTGCCTGGGTTCATCCTACTACTTAAATGAGAATTATTTCAAAGGGTCAAAAATCAGATTCCAAAGATATATTTGCAACAAACTGTGAATTTAAGTTATTGCACTGTAGGTTACTCATTGAACAATTATACCAATTATGTAAATAATTGGTATAATTTTGGTAAATGGTATACGCATCAGGATAGGACAATGGAGTGGATACTAGACAAGGAGGTCAGGGGAGTTTCTAGTCCTAGTTTTTATCAGTGATAAAGACAGCCTGGGAGCATTTTAATTTTTAATATCCCAATATAGTACACTAAGAAATAAATGCCAAAAATATTATTATTTTGACATTAAACATTTACATTTAACAAATTAACATTTCTAACTCCCCCCCCACACATACACAGAGACATACAGGTACAAGCACATAAAATATAAGGCATTTGTGCCATTTACAAGATAACTTTTTGGCTATATAAACAAGTCATAGTACACCACATGTGCACTATGTGTAATAAGCCACAAGTTTAAATATATAAAGTGGCAATCTTCCACTATTCTCTGAGTGTCCCAAAAATTATATGAATAATTTCATTTGATATATAGTCAAGTCTAAAATTTAGACTTCTTTTGAGAATGAGAAGCTTGGGCCAAATACTATGGGTAAAATATATTATGGTAATGTATGAGAGTGTGCTTTTAAAAGTATTATAAAAGTAGTTTAATGAAATAAGTAACCTACAGTGCAATAACTTAAATTCACAGTTTGTTGCAAAAATATCTTTGGAATCTGTTTTTTGACCCTTTGAAATAGTTCTCATTTAAGTAGTAGGATGAACCCAGGCAAATTTGAGTACAAATACTGATTAATAGTCTTGCTAGTTGAGGGACTTTGGACAAGTACATTTAATTTCCTCATTATCAAATTGAGATAAAAATACCTCCCCTATAAGTTTGTTTTGAAAACTAAATATAAAGCACTTAGTATCAAGCTTGGCACATAGAAAACATTCAGTAAGTATCTTCTAAATTTTCCTGCCAAGAACCTGTCTTGCCTTATCTTGGCCTTGAAGAAAAAAAACGTAAATGATGTTTCAATTAATTGTTGCCCAGTCATAATTGACAACATAATGGAGTGGAGAATTGGTCAGGAAAGTTACCAATATATGTAGTGAGTTTTAGACTCTTACTAATTTTCACTTTAGAAGATAAGTTTGCAATTGCACGAAAAAGGTAGGGTGCTTATTGCTTTGGCATAAGTACAAATACACCCCACACTTTCCTCCTCCAATTGGTGATGTATGTTGAGAGGCATTATGCTGTGGTAAGATGAGCAAGGCCTGGACAGTTCCAGAGCTGTGAACATGGTTATCTTTGATGTGCGTGGGTGTAGGAGATGAAACTACAGGGGATTAAAGATGGAAACTTAATGCTATACTTCAAGTACTTTTGAATTCCTTTTTACATTTTCAACAAGCATAAGCAAATTTTATAGTGAAAAAAAATAAGTGCAAGCAGTAGATAGATAACTTCTTTGTAAATTTCAAATTGGACATGCTCATGTGCCTTTACTTGTCCAACTAGAAACTTTGTTAATAGAAGCAAGTTGTAGCACATTGAGATATGCCATGGGCCTGAGGTTAAAACCAAAAGAAATAACATGGACCCTAGGAAATAGGCAGATTACATTTAATTGCTGCATTAGTTTGAAAACTAAATTAAATGCTCTGCCAGATTGTTGTAGTTCCAATAATAACAATGAATATATACCTTATTTATCAAGTGTTTATTTTCAGAAATTGTAAAAGTTCCTTTATTCTATAAAGTGATATCAAGGTAGATTTTTGTGCTGTTATTAATATATTATTAATACTACCTGAAAGTCAGTAGTCTCATTCATAGCTGCAATGAAAAGTAGATAGAATAAAACTAGAATGAAAAGATATTTCTGCATTCCTTTCCTCAAGAACAATAAAAATATAATTATTTGTATTTTTAATGATTTCTTCAGAAACTGTCTTCATATTACTTGGTTATATACCCTCTTTTCAACTGTCATATATTTGACCTTCACTAGATTTGGGTTAGGATTTCAATCCTTGACTTTCCCTAATAAAGTTAGAGCACCATTTTTGTTAATGAAAAATATATTACTGAATTACATATGATAGCATTTTATCCTTTGAGAAGCTGAAAAAATATAAAAGTTAAGTAAGACATACTGAAGTACATGTCAGTTTAATTTCAGTTTTATGGAATTAGTGAACATGTACCCTAGAACTTAAAGTATAATTAAAAAAAGAAAAAAGCTACAAATGATGTTGACAATATGTTTTTATGGAAATGATTTCATAAAACAGGAAATATGTGAAGACAGAGAAATATACTATCTGGCTATATTATTTGTAATGAAATTGAATTTTATTGTTTTCAATTCTCAATGCATTCATTCATTTCTTATAATTTGGATGATTGAGAATAATTGATATGAATTTTTTGCTCAGAGGATACAAAAACATGTAAATAACTATAGATTCCATTATATATTATGTTAAAACTATAGGTTTTATTAAAATACATATGCTAAAAATCAAGCTTACAATATTATACGACTTTGTATTTATATAAAATTGATAACAGCAAAGCCTCTTATACCTAATACATTCCCTCCCCCCCGCCCAAAAAAAAAAAACAGATTTGAGGGCTTGGTAGTACTTTAATTTGACAAGATTTTGAACTTATAAAAATAACCTAAAACTTGTGCTTTGAGAGAAATTTTTGGACAAAATATAATTTTCAATGAAATACAGATATTTGCATTTCAATGCAAATATATAGTCCAGGAAAGCACACCAAATAGAGCTTGAGGTCCACGTGATACTACCACAAACAAATTATTTTATTCATTAGTCTACAAATATTTATTGGGTAGATAGTCTGTACTCAGCTCTGTGGTAGATACTGTGGAAAAAGTGAAATGGAAGCACTTGCTAGCACATGAGTTTTCTCAGATATATACCAAGCCATGGCTCCATAAAAATAGAACATTTCCCCTCATAGAAAGAATATGTTCATATGTAAGCAGAAACTCACAAAGTTATCTATATGGCAAGAGATGAATAGAATATGTATGGATAGCTTTGGTTGAAGTAAAAAAAAAATTGTGTTGTGTTTTTGTTTAATACAATGTTATTTTATATCATTTAGAGCACTGTAGATGGTGTAGTAATTCCTTTTTGTTTATGCTATTGAATGGCTCTGATTCAGTATGAAGATCATCAGTACTGTTCCCTTTGAGACAGGAAGTCTGAATTGCACACCATTAATATCATTTTTTAATGAAAGAGTGAGATTTTAAATCTTCCACACTGACAGATATAGCATACAACTTTAAACAATAACCTATAAAATCCATAATAAGTAATTAAGATATTCTCTGGCTTATTTAACAGTGAAACAATTTATTTTTAGGACTATTCGACCTCTCATAATAATTATCTAATTATCTGTGTGGAACTATGGAAAGACTTAAATAAACACTTTTTATATTTTAACCGTGCTACATTTTTCTTGGTATAAATTTAACATCTTTGACTGAATTGATTCATAATCTCAAATGTTTCTTGGTATCTGTCTCTTTTTTGAAATTCTCAATCTTATTTTTATTCCTGTTTTTTTCTGAGTCTTAGCCTTTTACTTTTTCTCTTCTTTTGAATAATCAATATAATTGATGGTTGGGTTGAATTGCTTTCTCGTATTTGGAATGTACCTTTTTTAAAGGAGACTGCATTATTTGTGACTTTGGAGATTAGTAATTTGAGTTTGTTTGGCTGGAAATTTTTCTCCTAGCTTCAAAACCTGTTACATACTTTTGCTTTTACCTTCAGTCTGTCAATACATGGAAAATTGATGCATACAATTTAAAAATTTGAAGAGGCTGAAGAGAGTATAACACTTGAGCCATTAGCTGGATAAAAAAATGTCCTTTAGAAACACAAAAAAGAAAAATTTAAAAATTCAACATTTTATATATGAAATACTAAAGTGGACATGAGTGGAGTTTTGCAGATTGTACACAATTTCTAATCATAGGCAACTGAAATAAATTTTAACCATTCCCAAGAAAGAGCAGAAATTAATGCTGAAGTAATTCAGCTTGAATATGTAAAACTTTGTTTCTGATACTTTTACAAAATAAAAACAATTTGGTTTCAAGGTCAGTGGAAAGAGTATTAATCTTGGAATTGCTCTGGAAACCATATTTTATTTTCCACTTTGGGATGACCTTGGGCAGCTCACTTAACCTTTATAAATAGACAGATCCTCATTTGCAAGATGACAGATGGCTGTACCTGCACTTTCTGTACCAATGTTTTGTTATGGTGGTCAGTTGAATAATCAGTTAATGCACTTTGTAAGTGTACGACTGCCTGATAAATTAATTATTAAATGAACACTCACTATGTGCCAAGATCTATGCACTTGGACTAGGCTTTTAAGTTTTCTTACAAAATATTGAGTACAGTACTTTGGAAATTAGGTGCTAATCAAAGACTTCATTAATGATGTCTTTATAACAGCAAAAACAGTGAGATATTGATTGGCTGGGGGAAGAAGTTAAACTCCTTTTTCACATATTTATGCTCCATCAGTAATTAACAATATTCATAAAGTTTCAGATCTGGAAGGGACAGATCTGAGAGTTCCAGCAGTGGGAGCTCTGAGTAGTCATCAAGAAAGAGTGCAGACATTGAATTCAGATACACTTGGGTTTAAATACCAGGTGTTATCTCATTTGCTGGTCCAACACTATTTGCTGTGGAAATGAAGCAAGTTCCCTATGCCTAAATTACCACATTTCAAAAAAGGGATGATTATCAATATTGTTGGCTCATAGGACAGTTGTGATCATTAATTTAGCATAATACTTGGCACACAATAAGGGTTCAAAAATGTTAGTTCCTGCCAGTATTTGTTCTTTTTCAACCTCCTCATTTTTAGAAAAGCAACTCAGGTCTAGGAAATTTAAGCAACTTGTCTAAGGTCACAGAGCTGGTGAGTAGGAGTGCTTGCACAGAACGAGGCT
Source organism: Homo sapiens (assembly GCF_000001405.40). Classification (NCBI taxonomy): domain Eukaryota; kingdom Metazoa; phylum Chordata; class Mammalia; order Primates; family Hominidae; genus Homo; species Homo sapiens. Next base: position 49,591,724 of record NC_000011.10, read on the forward strand.
CCTGGTGCCAGGGTACTGTTCGGAAAATATGCTTAACATTCAGATAATATTTATTTTAAGGCACTCATTCTCACAACAAATGTATGTTCTATTATAATTGAAATATGTATGTATATATATTATATGCTTTTTTTAGTTTACTGTTTTTATCACTGTGTTTAAGGACATAGATCTAGACTCTATGGTTAAATAAACTAGAATTTGAACAACTTATTTAACCCTTGTAAATCTCAACTTTCATCAATTGTAAAATAATTGATGCTGCTACTGCTAGAAAACAATTACATGAAATTTACCAGGTGTCCAGGCAGTTTTCTGAGCACATTGCATTCATTAATTTATTTAAACCAAGTCACAGAAAATGAAAATAATGGTAAACAAACATCAAATATTTATGCAAATTAAATTAATAGTATTTTAAAAAATATGTATGCAATATTTATGATGTATAGTATATAATAGACAGTCAATAAGTGCTATCTGTTAATACTATTTTTCTTATTTTTGTTTTGGCCTAGCCATGATTTCAAGTGTAACTTCTCAAGTCCTTTTTTTGGATTTTGAATTATTCTCCTAATATTCTGGTGTCTGAGAACAACTTAAACTATATGTATTAAGTGAAAATAAGGAGGATGCAAATAATATATTTTAAAAGATACATGATTTCCAAATATAAAAGTGATTTAATAGCTAGGTATTATTTAACATTTAGAAAAGAAACAAGAGAAGAAAAAATTTTTAATTGCTAATATTGCAACAGAAATCAAACTTTTCAACATTTTATCATCATTTCTAATTATCTTATGCACAATTTAAAAATGCAGCTATATACATAATATTGGATGTTTTTGTTTGCATTTTTTCATTTTACTGAGCATTGTAAGGAGCACATTTTCTCTTGTTATTCATACTTTTTATGGACATTGTTATTCGTGGCATTATAATATCCTATCTTTTCTCCACAACATTGCCAGTTGGGGAGCCCTCAGAGTCTTTTTTATTTTTCACAGTTCCAAAAAGCACATAAAGGAATATAAATATGTGATATTTATCTCTGCATTTAAAAAATCTAATTAAATTAATAACAACAAAAACAAAAATAATCAAAAAGATTAGATTCTTGTACAACTTGAAAATATATTAATAGTTTTTAAGATTTATTATAACGGCAATATTGTAAGTGTTTTAAATAAATAATTGCTGGCATAAAAAGTTTAGGTAGTATAAAAACACTCATCTTATTACTGGCTTAAGAAAGAAAACTTTGTGCCTATCCTTTCCCATGGATAACCCACTTTAAGTTGCTTTTGAAATAAAGTTTTTGTCTTACAAAATATAATTTTGAAGTTTTAAATATATAATGTGTCCATATATCCAGAGTAAGATTTTTACTAAAATTTGTTAGACCTCAACTCTAAGGTAAATCATCCTTTAATCTTTCTTCATAAGTTCTACTCTTAACTCTACAAGTAATTTTTATTTCAACTCTTCCAATAATTTTTTAAATCATCTAATTGGATAAGTTTTCCCCTCCTAGACACATTTATATTTAGAATCATGTTTAGTTTTACTTCCACCATGGACTAGTTAGTCAAATACGCATGTAAACTATAGGGTGTTTGTCCATAGTATTAGAATATTTTACCAATAATTCAGTGTTCTTAAGTATGATAGGGCATAAGATCATAGAATTTTGAATTAGATCATCTGTTCCTAAGATTCTCAATTTTATACTAACTTGAGAACATCAAACAACCCATCTTAAGGACTTTGTTTTTATATATTTTTAGAGAGTTATTCTTTAAATATATGATTACTTTTATTGTCATAGCTAATACTAACTCCTTAATATGTTCCAGCCATTGTGGTTCTATTTTATTTAGTCCTTACAATAATGCTATGAGTTAAGTACTTTTAATTACCATTTACCAGATGAGGAAATGAAGGCACAAAGACATTAAATAAAAGAACGTATTTATCAAAGTGCTCCCTGAGAAAGTCAACCTCACATGGCCTTATGATTGTTTCTGTCTTGCTTTTTCTCCTTTTGCTGGAGAAAATACTTCCCCAGGATGGATGGTGTTGATATTTTGAGATTACCACAAAGCTCTGTAACCACTGATAAAGCCAAAGAGACACAACATATTGTATAAGAAAAAAACCATTTGGGCTCTCTTATAAAGGCCAATCATTCTGAAGACACTTTTATTGAAAAAGAATTTTACTGGAAGAATCAGGGAAGATGTAAAATATCCAAGTTTTATCATTTAGGAAATACATTAGGATCAGCTGATCAAAAAAATGTGTTTCATACTTGCACCCATTGTCATTGTATTATTTTGAAAAAAGATGAATTCTGGTTAATAGATTTTATACTAATGTCATGCTTGGTGTGTTGTTATTGGTGTCAATTTTAGAGTTCTTAAAGAGAGACAATGTCTCCCAGAAAGAAGGAAAATGCAAGAATAACAATGTATAACAATATAACAGGAGTAAAAAAAAAAATATTGTGTAATATAACATCTACAGTTTTTGTTGTCTCTTTTGTTGCTTCCCGTGGCACTGTTTCCCCGGAAACCCAGCATTCCTTAGTGTCTACTACCCAGCTAACCACCTTACTGTGATTATTCAGCAAGGAAGTTTTGTAAACAATTTAGTAGGAAATCTTGAATAAGAGATGTAAGGACTTTTTAATATAAGGCATTTAGGAAATAAAAAGTTTCAGTAGACCTCATCCTTACCATGCGCAACCACAATGACTCCTGTAAAATCTCATTAGGGATGCATCTGGAATAATCAAGTATACAGCATTCTTGTGTTAAGAAAACTTGAAGAAAGCCTCAATAAACTCAATGCTTAAACTTTAACATGTGTAATGTTAATGTTCAGAGTGCTTGTGATAGAAAACTAGAAAAGCATTCTATAGATTTATTGAAATATATGCTATACATATGTATATGTCCTGCTATCAAATTATACCAGAATCTGAAGAACGAAGCACTAGTATTAAGGAGACTTAAGTTTTCTATCAACCTTCTCACTAAGTATGGCTGAGTTAATTTATCTGACTTTGTTATGTCACTAATTATCACAGCTTATTTCCTATTGTATTGAGTGATTCCTTCAAATATTATACTGACAGAATAATCCAAGAAGTTTTTTAACAGTGTTTCTACCAGATAACTTGTAGTTTTCCTTTTCTCATTAACATGTTAAGCTTATTTGCATTACAAATTCTATAATGTTTTGGTTAGAAAAATGCCCATCAGTGATAGACTGGATAAGGAAAATGTGGCACATATAAACCATGGAATACTATGCAGCCATAAAAAAGATGAGTTCATGTCCTTTGCAGGGACATGGATGATGCTGGAAACCATCATTCTCAGCAAACTAACACAAGAACAGAAAACCAAACAATTCATGTTCTCACTCATAAGTGGGAGTTGATCAATGAGAACACGTGGACATGGGAAGGAGAACAAGGAGGGTCTGTAGGGGGGTAGGGGGCTGGGGGAGGGATAGCATTAGGAAAAATACCTAATGTAGATGATGGATTGACGGGTGCAGCAAACCACCATGGCACGTGTGTGTATACCTATGTAACAAACCTTCATGTTCTGCACATGTACTCCAGAACTTAAAGTATAATTAAAAAGCAGAAAAGGTTAATTTAATTTTCTATTACTAACAAAATGAAATCAACCAATTCTTTTAGAGATGTACTGAGGCATCTTTCCTTTTTAAGATCATTACATTGTGTGTTTATTAAGGGTTACCAAACACTTTCGTCATGTGATGTATGGCTAAAAATTATAGTACTTCAAATGTGTTCTGGATTTGTTTTTGTCTTTCTGACAAGGTCTTATTCTGTCACTCAGGCTGAGTACAGTGGCATGATCATGGCTCACGGCAGCCTCGACCTCTCAGGCTCAAGTCATCTTCCTGTGTCAGCCTCTTTCTCAGTCCCTGATCTAGAACTAGAGGTGCACACCACCACTCCTGGCTGATTTTTTATTTTCATTTTTTGTAGACACATAGTCTCACTATATTGCCAAGGCTGGCCTCAAACTCCTGGACACAAGTGATCCTCCTACCTTGGCCTCCCAAAGTGTTGGCATTACAGGCACGAGCCACCATGTCTGCCAAAATTTGATACTTAAATTGTTAAAAAACAGATAATAAAAATTGAGATAAGTGCTGCGTGGATGTTAGTTATAATTAACGAGGATGTAGGCTTCTTGTAGTAAGGGTTTGTCTTAGTTTGTTTTGTGCTGCCATACCAGACTACCACAGACTGGATTATTTATAAATGGAAACGTATTGGCTCACAATTCTGTTGGCTGGAAAGTCCAGTAGCAAGATGCTGGCAGATTTGATGATTCTAAGATAGTGCCTTGAATGCTGTGTTGTCCTCCTGGAGGAAGAAATACTTCATCTCACATGGCAGAAGATCCAAGGAAAAGAGGGCAAATGGGAGCCTAATTCATTCTTTTAAAATGGCATTAATTCTACAAATGAGGGGAGAGCCCTGATGGCCCCATCACCTCCCAAATTCCCACCACCACAAGGGCAAATTTCAACATGTGTTTTGGAGAGGATATTCAGACCATAGCAGTGATATTAAATTTCTTTGACATTGTTCATAGCAGTTGCCATAGTTCTGAGTACATGGAGGTCAAATAAATACATACTGAATTATATTTACTCAATGTTGAATTTAAATATGTTCATATGTCCTAATGAAAACAGAAGTGCTAAATAATATGAAAGTGTTTCCTTTCAGGATTTAGATGTCACGGTCCTATTTTGTAGACTAGACCAGGGTGACTAATTTATGAGAGCTTGGTCAGTACTGCAACCCCAGGGTTAGGATTTTTTACTTAATGTCGAAGTGTGAAAATCAGAAACTTTGTCATAAACTATATTTATCTAATAAACCAAACTTCCTAGTCTTCCTTGTTTCAGTAGCCTGTTTGGCACTGTAACTTAGTAACTAATTCCTTCAGGCTTTGAAAAATATTTGAGTGAGTAAGAAAATGCCGGCCAGGCGCAGTGGCTCACGTCTATAATCCCAGCACTTTGGAAGTCTGAGGAGTGCGGATCACGAAGTCAAGAGATCGAGACCACCCTGTCCAACATGGTGAAACCTTGTCTCTACCAAAAATACAAAAATTTGTTGGATGTGGTGGCATGCACCTGTAGTCTCAGTTACTTGGGAGGCTGACGCCAGAGAATCATTTGAACCCAGGAGGTGGAGAATCGTTTGAACCCAGGAGGCTGAGGCCAGAGAATCGTTTGAACCCAGGAGGCAGAGTGAGCTGAAATTGTGCCACTGCACTCCAGCCTGGCAACAGAGGGAGACTCCATCTCAAAAAAAAAAAAAGAAAGAAAGAAAATGTGGTACGGCTTTGTGGGGGTGGCCAGTGAGTAAGCATCCAATATAAAAGAGAAGGCAAACACCTGGAAAGAAAAACTTGTCTCTGTCTCTTGAGAAGGTGGGGTGAAGCCCTTTTTCTTCTGTCCCATGTACAATCATTTGACCATTCCTTACTTCAACACCTCTACTTTGTCACATGGGTTACTTAAAACATATGAGTTCAATAGGTTGTGAAATACTGTGAGAAGACAGAAATAACTAGTCATAAGATTAATTTTCCAGGTTGACTTTCCCTGTTGCCCTATGGAGTTCTCTTTTCTTAAAAGTATTCCATTTAAAGGTAAAGAAAGAGTGATTAATCTAATATATTCCTTTTCCTTCCTTCCAGCAGGGCTTAGAATATGAGAAATAATAGTAGATTGCATACACTGAATGACTCTCATGTGTTAGTATTTTCATATATAGAATCTCATTTTATTTTCACATTGTCTTACAATGCAGATATAGTTGTCTTTTATAGGAACCAAGGAAACTAAGGTACAGAGAAAATAAGTAATATTACAAAGTCACAGTAAACTTGAGACAAAATTTTACTTTAGATATTTCTGACTCCAAAGACTCTTTCTATTACACCATGCTATCTATATTCAGTGTTCCAAATGCAGATGCTAAAGAAGTATAAAGTGTCTGTATGAAACCCTGACCCTCAATTCTACTCATGGAGTCAACTACTATTGGCAGTTTCACATTAAATTTTCTAATTTTTCTCTAAATTTTTTCCCCTTTAGTTTTACTTTAGGTTCAGGGGGTACATGTGCAGGCTTGTTACATGGGTAAATTGTGTGTTGTGGGTGTTTAGTGTACAGATTATTTTGTCGCCTGTGTAATGTGCGTAGTACCCAGTGGGTAGATTTTTATTCTCTCCCTCCTCCTACCCTCCACCCTCAAGTAGTCCCCAGGGTCTATTGTTCCCTTCTTTGTGTCCATTTGCTTTCAATATTTAGCTCATCCTTACAAGTGAGAACATGTGGTATTTTTCTATTCTTGAGTTAATTTGCTTAGGAAAATGTGTGTTGCCAAAAAGGGCATGATTTTGTTTTTTTTTATGGCTGTGTAGTATTTCACTGTGTATATGTACCACATTTTTAAAATCTAGTCCACAGTTGATGAACATCTAAGTTGATACTATGTCTTTGCTATTGTGAATAGTGCTGTGATGAACATATGCATGAATGCATCTTTATGGTAAAACAATTTATATTCCTTTGGTTGTATAACCAGTGACAGGATTGCTGGGTTGAATGGTAGTACTGTTTTAAGTACTTTGAGAAATCACCAAACTGTTTTGCATAGCAGCTAAACAAATTTATATCCCTACCAGCAATGTCAAGTATTCTTTTTTCTATGCAACCTTGCCAGCATAACTTTTCACAATCCATTTCTTTTCCTCCTTCCCTCTCTATCTTTATATTTTATTAAATCATATTTGAACAAAAATTAAGATTGATTTTTGCACCTTCTTTTCTGACTTAATTTAAAAAACAATAATAATATATCATGAACATGTTTTCAATTCCATCTGATGCATTTTGTAAGCGTAGATCACTTCCAGGTTATTGTGTAGTTCCTATTATTGCATGCTCCTTTATAAAGAGTGTAGAGTATTTTCACTCTCACTGAAGTCTTTAGCAATATGACCTATCTTTACCTTTTCATGTTGTCTCTTGTTGCCATCCTTAGCAACTTCCAAACATAAGTTTGCTGTCCATCTGAGCCACTGAGCTTACAATTTATTGTCAGCCACCAGAGCAAATCCAGTCTAGTGATATCTCTTGAACAGAGTTAAGGTTGCTTCCTGGTAGTTAGAGAAACAAATGGAGGTTTTCTTTTCGGACTAGAAAAGGATGGTTCATAACATTTTTTTCCTTATGCCACTACTCCCACATCCTCACATTACAAGATACAGAAGAAAAAATGAAGCCAATATAACGTGAAGATGACTTTCTAGATTTCATTCTTACCACACCTAATTTTCAGCTTCTCCTGCTAACTAACATTTTATAGATTTGTGGCTCGAGGCGGACATTAAGAAGATATAAATAAATCTTTTTTAGTGGAAAAATTGTCTATTAGTGGTGTAGAGCTCATTTGATTACCTGTCCTTTGAGATATTCACTTGTTTAACAGTCAGTTATGGTTATTTAGAGAGTCTACTATGAAGCAAGTCTGGGCCAAGGTGTAGATAATTTGTTAGCAGACTGTGAAGGTCCAATATTATACTGCAAACCTTGATTCATACTTCAAGCTTATTGGCCAAGGTATTAGATATGTTTTTTCCAGTAATAAACATAAGAATTGAAAATATGTCATTGAAAGTTAGACAAAGTAGAAAATATTTGTTTCCCCAACATTTTTGGCCATAATATATTGTAATAGAATACATATATTTTCTGTTATTTTGATCTTGAGATCTTTGAGCTAAAGAGGCGATACAATATACATAAACATCCCTGCCAGTATTTTATGTTTAATAAGCTCTACCTCAATTGAAAAACTCTATTATTTGAAGCACATTAAAAATGAATTTAATGCCAAAATAAGCTTCTTCGTTAATTTGGTAGATGACCATAATTATTTTTGCTATGAAGATCCTGATTTAAGAGTCTGAAATTAAAGGAGGCTGCAGATAATTTAGTGATGGTGCAGTTGAGGGATCATTAGGCATACTCTCCTCAGTATCTCTGGCATGGCAGGGCTAGCTGTCTGAACCTGTATTTATGCAATCTTTCAATGAGTATCTTTGGGATTAAAAAAGATACTTGGTATCTGATGAATAACTTTATTATTTATTTATTAAGATAGAGTCTCACTCTGTCCTCCAGGCTGGAGTGCCATGGAGATATCAACTCATTGCAACCTCTGCCTCCCAGGTTCAAATGATTGTCCTGCCTCAGCCTCCCGAGTAGCTGGGATTATAGATGTGCACCACGCCCGACTAATTTTTGTATTTTTAGTACAGATGGGGTTTTATCACGTTGGCCAGGCTGGTCTTGAATTCCTGACTTCAGGTGATCCATCTCCCAAACTGCTGGGATTACAGGCATGAGCCACTGTGCCTGGCCTCTGATGGACAACTTTAATATTAAGATCATTATTTTAAAATTTATTTTATTTATTTATTTAGAGATGAAGTCTCACTCTGTTGCCCAAGCTGCAGTGCAGTGGTGTGATCTTGGCTCACTGCAACCTCCACCTCCTGGGTTCAAGCAATTCTCCTACCTCAGCCTCCCAAGTACCTCGGACTGCAGACATGCGCCACTATGCCTGAATATTTTTATTTATTTATTTATTTTTAGTAGAGACGGGGTTTTGCTATGTTGGCCAGGCTGGTATTGAACACCTGACCTCATGATCCACCTGCCTCGGCCTCCCAAAGTGCTGGGATTACAGGCGTGAGCCACAGCCCCTGGCCTTAAAATTTCTTAACTGACCCACTGTAAGGTAAAATACTAAGGAAATGATGAACACACATGGCTGGACAAGGAAAGACCCTGGTATGTCTGGGACTAGAGTTGTGATCTACTCTGTATTACTTTGAGACTACAGAGGTTCTAAGGACCCCAGCAGTTTTTAATCTCAACTTGATAGCAATACTCCATTGATTTAACATTATAATAGGTAGGATGCGTCTGGGAAGTATGGAGAAGAGAGCAGAAGAAGAGCGTTTGGGGGTCACGTTGTGTAAGATGGAAAGCAGAGACAAAAGAAAGGGATAACAATTTCCCCTGATGGTGTATGAAACATTCTTCATCATTATTCTGATATTCTCCATATACCCACACAATGAACGCACGTGTGCATGCGCGCGCGCGCACACACACACACACACACACACACACTTTGCATATACTTCATTCATGCCCCATAATAGTACAGGAGGGTGCAGTGATACAGTAACTTTCCAAGTATAATACATCACTGTTTGGAAAAAACATAGCTGGAAACATGCATGAAAATTACCTGGGAATGTGTCAGAAATACACATTCTTGGGACCCACCCCAGATTTTGTGAATCAGAAACTCTGGGGATGAGACATTTTAAACAGATTTCCTACAAAGCATTTGCTCCTGCATTTTCATTTTTAAATCTAAGACCTAGTTCAAAACCCATTTCCTGCTTGAACCCTCCTCTAGCCCCCTGATAAGTGATCCACTTCTTGACACAGAAAACATTTTATACTAAGGGACCTTATAATGCACTGTCATTTATTGCAGTTCTATTTGAGCACATTTTACCTCCCAGGCCAGACTAGTAAGGAAAGTAAAAAAAGAGTAAAATACTCTTCATCGATCTATCTGTCTCTCTGTCTGTCTGTCTGTCTATTTATTTGAGATGGAGTCTCCCTCTGTCGCCCAGGCTGGAGTGCAGTGGCACGATCTTGGCTCACTGCAATCCCCGCCTCCCAGGTTTAAGCAATTCTCCTGCCTCTACCTCCAGAGTAGCTGGGATTGCAGGCATGTGCCACAACGTCCGGCTATTTTTTTTTTGTGTGTGTTTTTAGTAGGGACGGAGTTTCACCATATTGGCCAGGCTGGTCTCGAGCTCCTGATCTTGTGACCTGCCCCCCTTGGCCTCCCAAAGTGCTGGGATTACAGACGTGAGCCACCGCACCCAGCCTATTCTTTTATTTTTAATCTTGCATAACTCCTACCTTGTGGTGGATCATATTCATATTTAAATAGTTGGTATATGATGAATATGGAGTAAAGGTTCTATAATATCAAAATAGTTGAAGTTACGGTTAGTGTGTATAGTGAATATTGGCTCCTTTAGGCTATAAAAATCAGCTTTCACAAGTATAGAAAGAAAATGCGTGAAATGAGCACTTACTAGAGTCCAGGCGTGTGTTTAGTTAAAATGTAAATGGAATAACTGCTATAAACCAGGCCCCATGTGATATGCTGGGGAAAAATATTTCACCAGCCCCTCCCAGGATACGATCTATCACAAAACTCTGTTGTGTTTTGTTAAGAACGTTTGTTATCATCTCAAATTCTCATGTGGTTTAACTCGTTCTCTTGTTTATTGTCTGCCCCTTTCCCAAATCCATGAGATAGACTTTGTCTAATATATTAACAGTTGTATCCCAAATGTCAGGGGCAGCCTGGTACATAATATCTATGGAAAAAAATACTTTTGAATGAGTGAATGACTTAAAGAGTGAGTAACATTGTGAGGAAGACATTATAACCCCATCATAGACAAACTGAGACTCTGACAACTTAAGTGACATGCCCAAAAAATATAGAGTCTAGAGTTTAAAACTCAATTCTTTCCAATTCTAAAAATTGCATTTCTTAGCTCTACCAGCCATCTTCACATGATTTTTCCCCTTTTAACATATCTGTCTCCATTTTTTTCAAGGGATCATGGGAATTTGAGCTGCAGTTTTTCAGTACTGACTGCCTGCACTTGAAAACTTCTCAAAATTGTACTGAGCTGTGCAGTTAATCATTTTCTTGAGTTGAAATGAATACTGCAACCTTGCATACCACCAGTTCTCCCAATAATTTTGGTATATGCATCCCCAGCTTTTGGAAACTTCCTTGAGAATCAAGGAAGCAGAAAGATAGGATTAAGGAAGCAGTTATCCAATGAGTTCCCAGTCCAGTGAGCTGACAGCAGGAACCTTGGCCATGGGCTGATTTTAAAGAGGCTTGTGCAGGTGATGGAGTGACCTTGTTAGTGATATTTTCTTTTTTATTTCTTCCTGCATATTTTGCTTTCTGTTTATTATATTGAGGGAAGCAGAGGACTTGTGAGGAACTTCATAAAGCTTTTTCTTTTTTCCAGGACTCCAAAGATCCACTGAATCCCTTCTGTTCTTTTTTTCATTAGCTTCAAAATATTGAGTATCAGACTGTTGTAATAACAAATCCATTCAGTATTCACTAATGAAGTTGTATGAAGATAACTATGACCTGGAATTTAGACGGTGAAATGAGGGGACTGTGGTCAAATGTATTATTTATCCTTCTTCATGGAGACTCTCACAGGGTATTGGAAAGGAAATAGCCACAGAATATCCTGGATTTGAGTCCTAATTCTGCCACCATGAGAAAGCACTAATCTCACTAAGCCAGTTTTTTCTTTTTCCTGCCAAATAAGATTCACTGTGATTACATAGAAGGATATTTGAGCATTAAATGAGATAATGATTAATACAGCCCTAAGGATCATGCTTGGCACATAGTATATATTGCGTAAATGTATGTCACACTTATTATTTTTAACATAGAATAATATGTAATGAATGGTCTCACAGGGATAAGGGATCATTAATTCATCAAAAACCAGATAAGCATGAAGCTGGAATCGATGGTTCCTTCAGTTCTGTGTCTAGGACATGTAGACCAGATTATATGGAGTTTTTTAAGTGGGCTACCTACTAGTGTAATTGAATGAGGACCATCATGGCCATAATTTGGCTTGTTTTTACTCCTCTAACAGTGTTATAGTTTTAATTCTCTGACTGTCAGCACCCACTGATCTTTAGTAATTCCAACAGTCTATCACTAAATTCTACTGTGGTCCACATTCTTAGTATGGACTTCTACTATTTCTCCCATTACAGGAAAGATGAAGACTTAGCTTAAGAATGTTTCCTGTAAGTGAGCATGCTCTGAACAATCTGTGGTGGAAAATGGATGTGACATATTGTTAATGTTGGATTGTTGCTAAAATGTCTTTTGATGCCATAAACATGAGATTGGAAGTCCAAACACCTGGGCTTAAATTCCAATTCTGCACTTACTATTTTGTGTTATCTGAGACTTTCACTTGTGCACTATAAATAGGACCGGAAATGCTTAACTCACATGGTAATTATGTGGGTTAAATTAAATTAGATAAGGTATATTCAGCACCTGGAATAGTGAGAATTAACAATTGGTAATGCTTTGGCTTACCTCCCTGACCTTCCATAAACCATGCATGGCTGAACTCACCCTGTCCCTGCCCAGATTTTGCACTGTTGAGATTATGAGGCACTTCCTAATGGTTGCTGCAGCTGCAGCCCATAAAACAGAGCTCTTTGCATGTGTGAAGAAAATCATAATAAGAGGGGCCTCCAGAGCCATGCCACATCTCTCAGGCAGTACAGCCTCTTTAATGGAATCATATGAATGATTAAACCAAAGCTGCCTGATTTGTCTTCCTGTTTTATAGCAGAAACTTTTCTACAGGTTCTGGCATCAGAAATAATCTTTCCACTCCGAAATTTGGGAAGTATTGGAGATGAAAGGGTATGTTTGTTGTTGTTGTTGTTGTTTGAGAGAGTTTTGCTCTGTCGCCCATGCTGGATTGTAGTGGCGGTGTATTCTCGGCTCACTGAAGTCTCTACCTCTAGGGCTCAAGTGATTCTCATGCCTCAACCTCCTGGGTAGCTGGGATTACAGGCACCCACCACCAAGACCAGCTAATTTTTTTTTTTTTTATATTTTTAGTAGTGATGGGGTTTCATCACGTTGGTCAGGCTGGTCTTGAACTCCTGACCTCAGGTGATCTACCTGCCTTAGGCTCTCAAAGTGCTGGGATTACAGGTGTGAGCCACCATGCCCAGCTGAAAGGGTTTGTTCTTGATATGACATTTTTCTGTACAAAGCCTAGACAGTATGGAATGGTGGAAAAAGCTGACAAACACTAAGACCAGGTGATCAAGTGTAACACAAACAGTGATAAGGGTATGATGACAGCACATACCCTCGATATGATGCAAATAAGAACGGCACTTTCTTCTGTGATCTTCCTCCCAAAAACATACAACCCCAATGTAATCTGAGAGAAAAACATCAGACATATCCCAATGGAAGGACATTCTACAAAATACCCACTTCATGCTCCTCAAAACTGTCAAGGTGATCTAAAACAATAAAAACATGACAATCAGTCACAGTTTTGAGGAGCCTAAGGAGGCAGGACAGCTAAATCTAGTGTGGTAACCTGGATGTGATCTCAGATAAGAAAAAGGATACTAGGAAGACACTAAGGAAGTCTGAACTAACTATGGGCTTTAGTTAGTAAGAATGTATCAATATTAGTTTACTCTTCGTGACAAATGAACCATATTAAAGCAAGATGTTAACGGGAAAATGTGGGTATGCAGTATATAGGGACTTTCTGTGCAATATTTACAGTGGTTCTATAAATCTACAACTATTCTGAAATGAAAAGTTTATTTAAAAATATTATTATTCTTATTTATCCTTCAAAATTCCGGGCACTCTTTTAGGAAGCCTAACCTTTTATGTAATCCCATAATCCCATAACTTCCCACTATCCCCCATCACCATGGTTTGTATTAGCCCCTCCTCTCTAGTCCCTATTGCATTGTATGACCATTTTTTCACAGAACTAAATGTTCTTCAAGGACAGGTCTTTAATTTCCATATCCCAGTGCCTCTCATAGCATTTGGGATAGATAGTAGATAGATAAATGTCCAAGACATAGTAGAATAAATTTTTAAAAATATTGAATAAAACAATGTTAGAACAAATAAATGTGTTTTTTAATGAAATAGTAACTGAAGGGGCAGAAATATTAAGCCCAGCAAATGGCATCAGCTGCCTTTGTACTGATATGATGTTGAAAAGAACAATGACTGAGGGATCTCGCCACAGTACATTTCACATATTATTGCATCACTGATAACATAATTACTGAAAAGTGTCTTGTTTCTGAGGGGCAAGGCTCTATTCTGGGGGTTGGATTTGGTACACAGATACTGCTTGGTGTTAAGCACAACTATTTGGCCTATAGACACTACATGTGCCCTGAATGTGAGCTTCATTCACTAAATCATTCAACAAATCTGTAATGACAATGGCAACAATAACTACCCTTTATTAGATAATTGTGTGCCATATATTGTGTCAGATGCTGTATTGTACTGATTTCATCCATGCAACAAACCTGAAATTTAAATTATCCTATTTTATAGATGAGGAAATTGAGGCAGATAGTTTAAGTAATTTTATTTAAAGGGCCTATCATGTGCCAAGCCGTGGATATACAACTGGAAGAGTAGGAGGGAGGCACTGGAGAAAGAGGTTGTAAGAAGTAAAAACAAAGTGCTAGTGATGGGCATATTGACCTAGACTTTTATCTAAATGCTTTGTTCACCTATGACCCTTTCTTTTTAGGAACTGAAAACCAAACATTCTGTAGCTTTTCTTCTAAATCTCTTATTTTCCTTCTGGAATAGAAACTCTATGGTGAGTACTCAACAAATAACAGGAAACAACAGTGCATCTGATATAGTACTTGTGAGAAGAAGCATATTGTGTTAAAGGGTTCAAGCTTGGAATCAGATACACTTGGACTGAAATCCTGGGTCTGCCGTTAGTAGCTCTGTTACCTTGGCCAGTCAGCTTCTGCTTCCTTTTTTATAAGTGGGAATTATCATTCTTCTCTTGAAAGGTTGTTGGAAGGATTAAGTCATAGGTATCAAGTACTGAGAGCAGAGTAGGTATTTATTTGATAAATGGTAAGAGGCATTTTCATTACACCTGTGGAGAGAAGTAAAACACAGTAGCTGGTGGAAGGAGGAGGTGTGCTGAAGGCCAGCTTTCAACTTCTGTACATTATGCTATGCCTTGTTTGTTTTTTAATTTTGTTGAATGAGTCTGTCTCAAGAATGACATTCTCAATAAAGTTTATTTTGTAGGGCATAAACTAGTATTAACAGAAGAGCCTACTTATCTTTTATTCATTGAGCATTGCTACAGACTAGAGCCAAGGTAATACTCAGAAGTCCATTAGTTAAACCTTGGTGGTCTGAGGGTCATACCAGAACAAGGATGCACTGATGAATTTCTTATTTTTAATGGAGTCAAACGTTTGCTTAGTTTATATATAGTTTGTTCTATGGTGACAGAATGTTAAAGTTTGGAAGGACTTGAGAGCTCATCAAATTTATTCTTATATGTACCTCTGTGTAGTCATAAATGAGAGAATATGAAGAAAGCTTCTTGGTGTTAATGATAGTGCTAGCCTTGCTACTTGTATTTGGTAGTTAAAGTATATAGCTTTTCTTTCTACAAACAATTTAAAGTACTCTCATCATGTACTCCCATCAAAAATTTTATCTGCAGATGGCTATTATCCAGTTTGCAATGAAAAACTGAGTGGAAGCAGTATTTACTTTAGGAAAATATCTTCCTGACTGTTTTATCCTATCCCACTAGAGGTAGACCTTAGTATGCATACACTAAATTTCAGGAGCCAACATGGTCTTTATTGACTTGGCCTCACAAAAGAAGCATGCCCACTAAAGTACACCCAGATGTGTAGAAACAGCCACATCATAATGGCTTACTGTTATACTTGCTAATTGACAATAAGAAAATCACTCGACTTCTCTAAATGCTAGTTTCATCCTTTCTCAAACAGCAGATAAGAATTACTTTTCAGGGCTACTTAAATAACAACAGACAGTGTATATAGAGGATTTTGCATTGGTTAGCAAATACCACCACCACAAAATATTGGAAATGTACTATTAATTTCTTTCTATAAGACTATTATTAAAGACAATAGGAATATTGTTATTCCAAGTCCTTATATAAAGACATGTCAGCATAAAAATTACTTTTGAAAATTTTATGAAAATATCTCTCTATGTGAAAAACCGTTATTTCCATGCACATAATATGTACATATATGTATGATGTATATATAATAAATATGAAAGATGAATGTATATTATATATGTTATGTGTTATAGATAAGCACAAATATGTTTTATGGTATATATAAATAAATATATGTGTAATACAAAACATATATAATGGTTCTATATATTTTATAACATATTTATATATAGATATAATTTACATGTATTTAGTTAGTTCTACCTTAACACTAGAAAGCTCAGCACTAAAATAAATTTTTGAATATAGTGTTTTTTCCCCTGTAGATGACTGAAATCTTCTCTTTCCTTCCAACTGGGTTTTGATTGTTTCAATATCTGCAATCTGCTCTACTAAAAACCACATTTGATCACTTTTAGAAACAGGGAGGACCTCAGCTGGCAAATATATCATGCCTTCTAGATCAGGAGAGAAAACAAAAGCAATGAGGTTAAATGACATGCCCCCTAACTCACATTTTTTATTTTATTTTATTTATTTTATTTTATTTATTATTATTATACTTTAAGTTTTAGGGTACATGTGCACAATGTGCAGGTTAGTTACACATGTATACATGTGCCATGCTGGTGCGCTGCACCCACTAACTCGTCATCTAGCATTAGGTATATCTCCTAATGCTATCCCTCCCCACTCCCCCAACCCCACAACAGTCCCCAGAGTGTGACATTCCCCTTCCTGTGTCCATGTGTTCTCATTGTTCAATTCCCACCTATGAGTGAGAATATGCGGTGTTTGTTTTTTTGTTCTTGCGATAGTTTCCTGAGAATGATGATTTCCAATTTCATCCATGTCCCTACAAAGGACATGAACTCATCATTTTTTATGGCTGCATAGTATTCCATGGTGTATATGGGCCACATTTTCTTAATCCAGTCTATCATTGTTGGACATTTGGGTTGGTTCCAAGTCTTTGCTATTGTGAATAATGCCACAATAAACATATGTGTGCATGTGTCTTTATAGCAGCATGATTTATAGTCCTTTGGGTATATACCCAGTAATGGGATGGCTGGGTCAAATGGTATTTCTAGTTCTAGATCCCTGAGGAATCGCCACACTGACTTCCACAATGGTTGAACTAGTTTACAGTCCCACCAACAGTGTCAAAGTGTTCCTATTTCTCCACATCCTCTCCAGCACCTGTTGTTTCCTGACTTTTTAATGATTGACATTCTAACAGGTGTGAGATGGTATCTCATTGTGGTTTTGATTGTTAGCTAATGGTAGAGTCAAGGTGAGAACAGCCAGGTGCTGCCTGGTATTCTTCCAAGCTGGTTTGTGTAATCACACTTAAAGGTGTAGTGAGATATGAAACTATTTTCTGTCAGATAACTCTTACCCATTTGGGAAGCTTTTCTAATGAAAAGTTCAATGTACATTCTCCAAAGTACTTGGCACACTTCCTGGGAAATGGTATTTAGTGCTACCTGGGCTTTTAAAACACACACAGAATGAAGTGTTTCTCTCTGTGTAGCTTTGGATTAAAAAAATGAACTGGCCATTGCCTGATGAAGTATGAGGCCCTGAGATATCCACGAGGGCAGACTAATATCCAGAAATTTTTTTTTTTTATGAGTGACTACCTCTATTACCTAAGGAATATGTCTTTCAAAACACTGCCAACAGACACCCATTGATTTCTTCTCAGTCATGAGCACTTGAGTGGCAGGAAGAACCACAATAAAACAGCCAGCCAACAAATACCTTGCGAGTGCCACCAAGGTGATATCATGTGTTACTTCACAGTGAAGGGAAGAAAAAGTAGTGAAGTGTCTGCCTATAAATTTTAAATTGTGCGATCTGGTATCACTGACTTTTGTATGAGAATTCATAGTGTATAAAATTATACAAGGTAGCAATCCTATGAAGTAAGTTAATGAAATTTTATGAGTGGATGCTCATTTCACCAATAAAGGATTTGAAGTTCAACCAGGCTAAGTGACCAGTCCAAGTTCAAATAAATATTAAGTTATGTAATATGTAAACTCACATCCTTTTGACACCTGTGCTCTTTCAATGAAACCATGTTATATTGTGTTTCATACGATTTCATTGATTTATGTAAGCAGCAAGCTATGGTTCTAAATTGGTTCTGGCCACCCTATGAATCAGCCCTAGTGAAAGATGGATGAGTGCAGCTCACTTGAACACGTGCAGTGGGCACTATGCCCACAAGAAGTAGGCGGTGCCAGAACCAAGCATTCAAGAGTAATTGAAGCAAAGCTTTTAAAATTTTTTAAAAATTATTTTTAAGACTTTTTGTGGGTACAGAGTAGGTATATATATTTATGGTGTCATGAGATGTTTTGATACACGCATGCAATATAAAATAAGCACATCCAGGAAAATGGGGTATCCATTCCATCAAACATTTATCCTTTGAGTTACAAACAATCCAATTGCATTTTTAAGTTATTTAAAAATATACAATTAAGTTATTCTTGACTATAGTCAACCTGTTGTGCTATCAAATAGTAGGTCTTATTCACTCTTTCTATTTTGTTTTTGTACCCATTAATCATTTGTGCCTCCCCTTCCCAGTGCCCCCACTTCCCTTCCCAGCCTCTGGTAACCATTTTTCTACTCTCTATGTACATAAGTTCAATTGAAAGAGGCAAAAAAACAGCCCTATCTTTAGGGGAAAATGAATTGAAGTAATAGCATTGAAACCAAGCTCAGCTCAGCTCAGCAAATTGTCTTTGTGCCTTTATGATGAGCCAGCACTGTTGACCGGTAACACAAATTCTTTTTTCTGTACCATGTGCTATGATACTAATGGTCTTGGTAGATCTCTATGATCTCTACAATTTTCTTTCCTTAAGTAGTCTAAATTTCTATTAAGAAATAGAGGTTGAGTTACTAGCAACAATTGTGAAAAGAAAAGGGAAGATACCTGTAGTGTTGTATTTGTGATTATGTGTTTGTGTGTGTATTTGACACATGCACAAACGTATATATGTATGTTTGTGTATATGTATGTGTGCATATGATAATGGATAGATATATTTGTGACTATGTAGCAAATATCTCCAGAATACCTGACTTACTGATGTTGGGCACACTGTCTTTTCCGAACTAGAATAAAAAATATAAGCCTTAAAGATTGAAGTCTTTCCATACTTTTCAAACGTGATGTACTTTATAAGAAGTGGGAGGCTACATGAATAAGTGTTACCTAATCTCTAACCACTAGGGATTCACTTCTAGTCCATGAGCAAGATGCATGCTCAAATAATTTTAATAACTATCTGGTAGGCTGTGATAAGTGCTATAATAAGATTAAAATTGTTAAGGGATCACAGAAAAAGGAGCATTGGATTTGGATTTGGGTTGTAAAAACCATTTCTCAGTAGAAATGACATTTCCCTGAACCCCTAATAATGAGCAGGGAGTTGACATGAGAAGATAAATAGCTTTGACAGTTTACAACTATTTTTGCACCCAGAAGCAAGATAAGTCTTCCCTGATAATAGTATGGGGCAAGTCTGCCCTCATAAAGATTTCGGAGTGCTTCAAAATACACAGAATTGTCAGGTGTGAGAGTGAGGCCTGGGGCCTGAATTTGTATTGTTCACTTCACCATCAGGATTCTGACCAATATATGATGCTCCTAATGTGCAATGCAGAGATCCGTAAACCAGCTTGATTCAAGCCATGCATGGAGAATGAAGTAGTACCCTCCCTCTTCTTGTGCTTTTAAAGCTATAAAATGAAAAAGAAGTTATTTGTTTCTTTCTAATATTCCCGTAAAGACAAGATTATTTGTGGACATTTGTTCTCTGTGGACCAAGTCAGGAACATGAGCAAGGAAAGCCTAAATATTTCCTCTAAAATAGTAATTGACAAATGCAGAAAAATAACACATATGCTTAGCTTCCAATATTTGTCATCTATTGCATTAGATTACAGAACTCTTACATGTAGCAACACAACATGCTATCTTAAAGTCTGATCTTAACTGTGTTACAAAGAGAGTACCTATCGACTTTGTCCACAAGATCTTAGACTCAGTGAAATATGGCAAATAGATCATAAAAAATTTGAAATGAAACAGCTAATGAATAATGAATGTTCTGTTGCTATCTTTGGGTAAGCGTCTGCAAACATATGTTTTTTTCAGGACTTTAGAGGATGTTGATTTTATGCAAACTAGAAATTCTCTACCATCTGTAATAGGAAACGAGTTCTCTGTGCTATAGCTAATAATAGATAGAGCACTGAGTGAATTTAGGAAACTATTCAAACAGTATGTAATGATTCCTTCACATTGTTCTTCAGCATTGCTTTCTTGCTCTTTGACGATTTGGGCTGGCTGGAATGCTGACATGCAGAGGCTCTTTTAATGTTAATGTTTGGTCAATGTAGGGCCTTGATATATTGTTCAATTTTGCGAGAGCTTTGAGTCTATGTCTCCTTCTGTTCATTTACTTCTTCTTCGTATTAGGACATTGGCTATCAAAGGTTTCTGTGCAGCAGTTCTTGATTCTCTTAGTGGATTTGATCCTAGAGAGAGAATAATGTATGCATTCAATGTAGAGTCATAAGGTAATTATATTTTTTACACATCGTACATTTTCCCAAAAAAGACCCCTATTTGCAGCAATAAAGATCACCAAATAGACTCTCTCACCATGCTAGGTTAAATGGTTCAGACTCTGCTCAGGGGAGCTTGATGTCAGAATTCGCTGGATTAGGCCAGAACGCTCTGACGTAAGGAGTGCGAGTCAGCTTCCTCCTGCTGGGCACCTACTTCACTGGCATGAGGAATTCCTGCTATCCCTACAGATCTTTATTTGCAAGTATTATATGCAGATATATTTTACCTTCTTTTCCCAAACCTCCATTGCAACAGAAAGTCTACTCTTACTTTGCTGTTCATTTTTATCTTCAATGTCTTCTCCTCTGATTGTAGATTTTCTATTTCTAAATTATTTGTTTCTTCTTTTGTCTCTTCCATTCTTCACTCACTCCCTCCATTTTCTCTTTTTCCCACCCTTTTTTTCTTTCACTGTAATTTTTTGATCATTATAAAAAATGTATCCATTAGCCTATGCATTATTGCTATCAGAATGGGAAACAATGTAACTTGATAGTTAATGGAACTAGCTTTGGAATCAAGGTAATTTGAGGTCAAATCCAGACTTTCTTCCCTTAATCATTCTGTGAAACGATCAAATTTTTAATTCTCCTGAAATGCAAATTTATTCATCTATGAAAATATCTATGAAATACCATTGCTATAATGTAGATATATTGAGTAATAGCATCTATATAATAGCAATCCCATGAAGATTACATAAATTAATGTATGCAATGTATTTAGAAGACTGTCTGGCCCCTAATAATCAATTCAGTTAGTGGTCAAGATGCTGTAGGCTGCTTCATGGTTGGTGGTGGTGGCAGAGATCAATTTTTATGCTTTATCAAGTATATCATCGCAGTTTCTTTGAAAGTACATTGCAGATTTCACGTAATCAGTGTTGAGATGCCACTGTGAATGAAAAGGCAATTTTGTGCAAAGCTCTGGTTTTCAGTAATCAGTTAGGATTAATTCTTACTTGTGGACAAGCTGAAGCATTCTTAGCAGCTCCTGCCAACTTCTCTGTAATACAGACATTTTCAACTAGACACCACTGAACTAATAATGAAGATGTCGTCTCCCTTATAAGTTATTCCCACGATATTCATAACTGTTTTAGTCTGAACATTTTGATGAATAGACCTATTTGTTTTAAAATTGTTTCTTAAAATCCCTCCATCCTCAAAAAAATTCAGATTAGTATTGCAATACCATGTTAAAATAAGATTAAGAAACCTCCCTGTAAATTACCAAAAGTAAAGCTCATGAAGAATTACAGAAGTTTTAAAAGAAAAAAAAAAGAAAAAGAAAAAAGGGCTATTGCATTAGGAAAATTAAGCAGATGCACTATGAACATTAATTACAGCTAACTGAGGTTTTGTTTACTGAGGTTAGCAGATTCTAACTCACTGAGTTTCCTTAGAAAATGGCCTGAGTTATCCTTGCACCATAAGTTATAAAGCAGCAGATATTGTTTCTCTCTACAAATGGAACCACATTAAATTAAACATAGCTTTTCTTATTACTCTTTTGGAAAGCAAAGGAGGAAGTTACCTAGAGTCCATCAGGATGCCTCAGACCACTAAGGCTTCTCATTTTCTCATAATCATGTGCCATCCTCTGGAGATATTAGCTTTGCTTTTGCAAGCTCATGGTGTGGCTTAATACATATGGCACCATGACATGGTCAGTTGAGGAGGGAAAGGAAGGAAGAAACCTATGTTCTAATAACTATTCTCCCATTATCCAGTTGTATGGTTCTCCACAGTCACTTTGGCTCTCTGTGTTTCCACTTAGTCATCTAAAAAGTTGTTTATATCAATAATTTTTAAACTTTTAACAATTATAACTCCCTTTAAGAATAACATGTTGTCTATAATTTTAATTGGCATAAACATGAAATTTTCACAAAATACAGCTATATATCATTTTAACAATTCTGTGCCACCCTAAATCCCTTACAGTTGCATGAATTCTAGGCTAAGGACCCTTATCTAGGTGGCCACATGATACCTTCATAATTCTGTGATCCTTGGGCATTTAAATTCTTTCTCAAATAGCTTATACTTATAGGGTTTATTGGGAAGCAGGGGTTATGTATATTTTACACATTCTCTAGCTCTGAATTTGCTGTAAGATTTGACCAAGTTACACAGTTTCTGTGGGCCATGTTTATAGGGTAGTGTCGTGATAAAATCTTAGACTTTGGAATCCAAAAGATCTCAATGCAAATCATGGTTACATCATATATTCACACTCTAACTTTCAGGGAGAGTATTCTGTGGGCATGCTTTTATTGCATATAATCCTGTATAATAGGCCATGATCTTTTTTTTATTATTATTATACTTTAAGTTTTAGGGTAGTGTGGCGATTCCTCAGGGATCTAGAACTAGAAATACCATTTGACCCAGCCATCCCATTACTGGGTATATACCCAAAGGACTATAAATCATGCTGCTATAAAGACACATGCACACGTATGTTTATTGCGGCATTATTCACAATAGCAAAGACTTGGAACCAACCCAAATGTCCAACAATGATAGGCCATGATCTTAAGACTCTGAAAATTTACCTTTAATAATCATTTGCTCAATATTTGCCTCAATCCTTTGTAATGTATATGCCCATATACATGTGTACATACATACATATAAGTTCATATACACGTATACATGTATCTATATTATATATAATATGTGTGTATATGCATATGTGGAGTTTGTAGCTAATTGATGTTTCAATTTAAATGTATTTATTACAATTGTAAACATTTTGATTTTGTGTTTTTATTTTACGGCTTAGAGATCATTGCTCTTAGATCTTAAACACTTTTTGTATTCTGCACAATTTCATACATACTTAATGTATGAAATTATATTACTTAATGAATATAATGGCCACTATGTGAGTCCTAGTTTTCTCATCTGTTAACTTGATGATCTTAGGTAAATTCCTCTATTTCTCTGAGCTTTAATTTTCTCAATGGGCTGCTAAATAACTTAGGTCAATTAGTGGTTAAAATAAAGCTGGATGTAATTATCTAATTCTCAATTCCTTTTTTCAAAATTGAAATTAGCTCATTAAACTTGAAAAGGTTAAGGAATACCAAAGAAGGAAAAGAGGTATGAATAAAGTCTCTGTAGTTACTTGATTTACAATTTAGTGACATTACCTCTTGGTATGCTAATATGTCAACTTACCTTTGTGTTAACAAATTAATTCATTTATACACTTAAAATTAACTTATAAAACCTGTGCTTACCTCATACATCTTAAGGTTTTTTATTTTTATTTTTAGGTAGAGGGGCAAAGAAGGAAGAGATGCGTAAGAGGGATCAGACATTGATGTTATCTTTTATGAGGTGTGTAAAACAATAGGGCTAAAGGTAAATTAGGCTCCTAATTAGTTGTAAGTAAAAAGTTATCACTTGTCAGTTATGTTTTTAAAATTATGCTAAAATACCCTTAATGAAGAAACAAACTAAAGAAATAACAGAGGCAAATCAAAATGCAAGAATATTCTTCAAAAACTTATGCAAATTTATTGTTCCTTCTATCTTCTAAATATGATTTTTCTTGATTGCCTTTTACTGTAAATCATTACTTATGGATGGTAATCATATTTGTAGTGTAATGTGAAGAAACATTTTTTCATGAGTTTGAATTAGAAATAGCAGAATATATAAAGACAATAGAGTAGACCAAACTGTTTTCTCCCACATAAGTGCCTAGTAATGAAATTTTATACTGGAGAACTTAACCTTACGATGAAACCAGTAACAACATGATTGCGTTCTTTGAGTTCAATTATAACAAAAGTACTAACAACTAGTGAACTATCACTTATTATAGTTTTGGATATATATACTATTATCAAAATCAAATTTATATAACCTTGATGTCTATAGAAACATAGCCATGAAGAATAACATTTTAGATGCATAAATACAGACTGTGTAGTAAAACAATTTTGCAGGAAGAGTCCTTGTCTATTTACATATAATGGAGAGAAATAACACCAGAGGAAATGTATGATTTATGATAGAGATCTGAGCATACTTAAATTTAATTTTATTTTGAATATTTGCTTGATTAGCCAGCTAACCATGTCTTTTATTTTGGTTAGTAAAGTAAATGGTTTAAATAGTAAACATTATATATCCTTGAGTTTACATGTCAGCACTGCATACGAATTCTTTCCAGCATAGGTTTTCAAAGAAGAAATTTTGGTCCAAAGAGACTTTTTTCTTGTCTATGTCATGCGGTTTTTTCACAGTTTCCTTTTTAATAAAGACTCACAAAAACCCATATAATTTTATTACATATTTCTCCTCTTACAACAAAGATAGTTTCTTTCTGAGTACATACAATGGTATTGAAGTTTGGAATTCTAATTTTAAGTATTATCCAGGACTGTGTTTCTTTATTTGAAGTTATATTATAGATGCATTAATATTGTGAGTGATTAAACAAGGAATGAAAGGTTGCCACTTTCACCAATCATGTGAAGTTATTAATGACACAGCGTTAAACACAGGAAGATTAGAAAACTACAGAAACTGAGGATTCATAGTCCTCATTCAGTACCTTCTTTTACTTCTCACCTTGATTTCATAAGAGTCTTCTAACTGCTCTCCCTGTCTTCACTTCATAGTTGTAATTAATTTTGCATTCTGCCACCAGAGGTTCTTAAACATTGAGCTATTCATCATGCCCTTCTGCTTAAGCCCCTTTAATTCTTCCTCTTACACACTTGGATAAAACCCATATGACCTAACAAGGTATAAAACAAATAAACCTTTATTACCTATCTAGTCTCTTTGTACTTCCCCCAGCATCGCTTTTCTCCCTTCTTGTCTTGCATCTATGCTCTATTTATAAAAACCCTAAACATAAACTAGCAGCAGAATAATGGCAGTAATGAAGATCACTCTTGTTGATTGATTATTAACAATGTGACCAATCACTGCATTTGAAGTTTCATCTATTCCTCCATTCAAAAGATGCTCCTGAACACATACCATATACTTGGCACTAAACTTAGCAGAGAGATATGCTGACATGAAAAGAACAGTGGTGTTATAGTTCAAGAAAAAGCAAATATTCACTACTCTCCTGGGGTCACGGTCTGGTTGGAAGGATGCAAATTATCACTTAACAAATGCAAAATTTTATCTTCGCTGTGTGCTAAAAAGTAAAGGAAGCAAGTCCTGGGAGATCCTATGATAGGGGCATGTGGCCTAATAAATAAGGGTGGGATAGGCACACTTGATGCAAGATTTTAAAAATGATTTGGGCCGGGCGCGGTGGCTCAAGCCTGTAATCCCCCACTTTGGGAGGCCAAGACGGGCAGATCACGAGGTCAGGAGATGGAGACCATCCTGGCTAACATGGTGAAACCCCGTCTCTACTAAAAATACCAAAAAATTAGCCGGGCATGGTGGCGGGCGCCTGTAGTCCCAGCTACTCAGGAGGCTGAGGCAGGAGAATGGCGTGAACCCGGGAGGCGGAGCTTGCAGTGAGCCGAGATTGCGCCACTGCGCTCCAGCCTGGGTGACAGCGAGAATCTGTCTCAAAACAAAACAAAACAAAACAAAACAAAACAAAACAAAACAAAACAAAAAAGATTTGAAATTATGTAGGCAAAGTGGGAGAAAGAGAAGGACAAGGACGAGGTAAAGATAATATGCAAAATAGAAAGAGCAGGAAGGGGCATGGATATGTGTAAACTCAAAGAAGGCCAAAGTGGCTGGTGCACAGAGAGTGAGGAGAGCAAGGCGTGAAAATGACTTTAGTGAGACAGGCAGGGGACAAATCATGAAAGATCTGTTAGCCCATCATTAATAATTTGGTTTTAGGAGCAATGGGAAGTCATTGGGGGCTTTTAAGTGGGGATGTGACTTGATCTGGTGTGCATTTAGGTTCTTCAGCCTGGATGGTGGAGAATGGGTTAGGAGCAGGGGTCCAGGTGGAAGCAGGGAGAGAGTTAGAGTTAATGACTAGAGTCCAAAAGAAAGGAAGACTGTCAGCTCATTTGGAAATGGTATAAAAAGAAATACTTTTCTGAAGTAAATGCATAACTTATCTCATTTAAGCCTCACAACTATGCCAGGGTAAATATTATGAATCTCACTTTTCAGATCAGTACATTGAAACTTAGATAAGTTGTATCAATTTGCTTAGTCCCATGGCAGTATATGGCATAGCCAGGCCACAGAAACCAGGTTCTTTAATTCTAAATTACGTCCTCTTTCTACTATACTGTTCTCTTTCCATATTCTGCAATGCTGTGCTTTTTACATATTATAACTTTTCATTTGCTTTTCTCTCAATTTGAAATACGCTTCCATTGTTTCAAACCCCTGGATGCCTTCTTCAATGACTGCCCCTTTATGCTTCCGTTCTTTACTAATATCTGTCCTTTGTGCTTTCATAGCACATTTTGTTTTCCTGTTGTTTTATTCTTTCTCTACTAGACTATGCACTCTTAAATACAAGGAATAGGGCTTTTATTTGCATAGTTCCAATGCCTAGCAAAATGACAAGAATATGGTAGGTGAGCACCAAAATTTAAATTAAGTGAATGCTTGTGATAACCATTTAAGTCAAGCCCTCAAACATCCCCTAAATCCTTTGTACAACATTTCTGGCCAATGATCACTGAAGGCATCCACCGTTACATTACTGGTAATACCTTACTGATCACCTCCTAAATGCCAGGCACAGATATAAATACTTACTAATTTGCCATATTTAATACTCGTACAATCTCTAAAAATAGATATATTATAGCTGAGGAAAAACTGAGTAACTTACTTAAGGTAACATACTCCAGAATTCAACATTAAAGGCATTCTGAATCCAGAGATAGTCGATGTAGATTGTAATATATCCATTCCCATTACTGTTACCTTTGTTTGGCCCTTTATAACTATCCATTGTTGGACGGAAAATTACACCTTGACTTTCCTGACCCTAGCTTGACAAATTGGATATTTTCTCCAAGTCAAGCCAACCTAATACAAGCAAGTGGTTCTTCCTGACTCCTGTTATTTCTGCTCTTTCCAATTCCTTCCCGATATGAAATGTATAGCCTGCTTTTAGTACGCAATGTAATAAATTTGTCAACTTCTGCTTAAATAAGGAGTCCTTCAACAAGTTCTGACAACTTCAAATTTCTTTCTTTCATACTTACATTTAAACACATAAAATTTAGTAAAATATTTTAAAAACCAGTTGCAGAATCTTACTTGTCAGCATAAATCCAAAGATAGATTTCATCTATGTAAGAGTTTTGCTAAGTTGGTCCTGCTCCCAGCTGTGAAATCCCATAGTCAGAGAAGTCAGTAATGTCCTAAGCCTAGAGGCAGTCTGTTCTGCCAAAATGTAGTCCAGTTTTGGAGGTGGAATCATTGAGTTTTCAATTGCGTGTAACCCATATGCTGTTTCTCCTGGCTTTAGAGTTCTTGATTAGACTGAGGAACCAAGAAGAGCTCTGTCTGAAGGACAGTGTCTTTAAATAGAAGAGAGGCTTCTATTCTAGTCTCAAAAACATAAATATTTCATCTATTTGCATATGGGATTAAATAATTGTAGATTTAAGTTCATGTAATCAAATTCCCTTTCTCACCAACCTTACAAATGACTTCCTCAGAAATGCTTCAGAAAGAGGAAAATAATTTTTAGTAAGATAAGTAACTTGCCCAAGTCACAAAGCTACATTTCAAATGTAGATCTAAATGATTCCAGAGCCTAAATTCAGAACTATTTAGATCTTACCTTGTGCATGCCCACTTTCAACATCTTAGGACTGCTAAATTTCTTCTTTTTGTTTCAGGTTAAGCATTCTCAAATTCCATAAGCTTTCCTTATATAATGTGCCCAAACTTTGTACTCACCAGGGGTCCCCAATCCTGGTTAGTAAGAAAGTATTTTAAAGAAGGAAAGCTCTTTGATCAAAGCATAAGAAATTTTTGACAGAGATAATCAAATCTATAATAATTTGAGAAGTTCAATATCATTTAAATTCCAGCATATAAATGTCCATATTAGAGACTTTTAAAATATTCTTTGCATTTAATAATCTACCCCCAATAAAATCATACGGCAAACAATTTAAACTTGAATGAAATGAAAAACCTACCTTAGACATCTCTCTTATAATTTATCATAGAGGATAATAGATCATTTGGTCCAGCCTCTTGCATTTAAGAGAAAGTTGTAACGTATTCATTTGAAAACATAGCATTTAGTACCTATTAATTTGTGAAGACCTCTGCTATTTGATTTATTTTGAATTATACCTCTTCAACACCCTGAACTCCAATAATACTTTGGTTTCAAAAGGATCTACAACTCACTATTGATCTTGCCTACCCTTCAATGTTCATTATCCTCCTTAAGCCTTCACTCCGACATTATTCAGCTTATATTTCCAGTTCAGCTTTATAATCACTTACTGGGATATCTCTATATTCGCTTGTACATTGTACCTGCCACCATACTTGACTGGAGCAACTCCAGCTTTGGCTAATTCTACCTGTCTGCCTAATTTACACCTGTGCCTGGGCCACTCAACAGGGCTGGATCAAACACAAAACACTACTGACCGGCTTTACTTAAATTTATTATCACAAACCTTATATAGCTTCAATTTACTTCTGGCCAATACCACAACTACATTTTATTCATCAATTTACTCTCTCACTCTCCAAAATAATAATAATAAGTTGTTTAAATGTTCAAAGATGGGGTCTCAGCAGATTTCCTTTGAAACTCATCCTAGCTTTATAATTTAAAAAGCACTATTAAAAATTTGCCATTAATCTTTTAAGACTTAGTTCAATGTTATTCTCCAGGCCATCTAGCTAGTCCTTTTTCCATGCTTTACGAATCCTCATTTTTTGCACTCATCTCAATGCATGCTATATTGTATTGCTTTTAAAAGTTTTTCTGTTTATTTATCTTCCCCCCTCACCCTGCTCTCTCTTTTAAATGGCATTCCCTCATTAGGTAATTAGATTCCTAAGGATAAGAGTTTCAAGGACTGTGCTGTGTTTTGTTTGTTTTTATATCCCAGGGTTTTTCAAGAAGACTGGTACTATATCCCATATTGTACTGCGGTTATCTGTCCGGTTTTAATACCTTCCTCTCACCCCAACTGCAATCTTTTCCTCCACAGTGAGACCTGTGAGAGCAAGGGTTGTGTAGCATGTAGTTGATTCCACTGCTAGAATTATGCCTGGTACATTATAAACAGTAAGCAAGTGTTTGTAGAAAGCATAGCAAAGCAAGAAAAACGTAAGTTCTTCAAGTTCTTCCACTTAACATGTTTTTGTTGAGCATATATTCTGTGCTTGTCATGAGAAGAATTTTTGGGATAGTGCAGTGAACAAGAACACAAAAAAATTCCTATAAAGGAAATGTAAAGATGGACACTAAGAAAAGTAAATGAGCCCTAAAATGTGTTAGAGCGAGATAGGCTAAATTGAATATTAGATAAGATTCTCTGGGTGAGCCTTACTGAGAAGAGGACTTTAGAGCAATGATCTGAAAGAGGTGAAGGTGCTCCCTAGGTGGCTCTCTGGGGGGAAAGCATTCTGAGCAGTGGGAATAGTGTGGCATCCTTCATAAAAATGGAAGCCTTTGGAGGGTTTTGAACAGAAGAGTGAGGTTCTCTGATTTATGTTAAAATACATAAGTGAAAATACAGGAGAATATAATCAGTGGTAAAATGTCCTGCAATAGATTATTAAACACTCATCTCTGTTGGTTCTGTACTTTAGTAGTAAGTGACCCATGCAAAGTAAAAGTTGCCCTTGTTGCAGATAATATATTTAGTAGATGGATAAATGAGCTAGTGAACTTGAATGACAGGTTGCCAAGGGGATAACCTATCAGGATTCATTACAAAAGAAAGAGGCTTGTCTTTATGTGGTAATCAGGAGCAACAAATCTAGTTATTAGCATTGGCAGCCTCTTATTTCTGAGTGTTTTTTTAGGAAGCCAGAGCTCCCAAACAGGATTCTTCTGTGCACTTTATCTAATGTTCTTGAATAACAAGATCAGTGCATATCCGGTTTGCTAAATATATCCACTAGCTCTTTCCTTGATGTAAATAACTTACACATTTTAATAAAAGTGTGTTAGCTCTTTGTTATGACTTTATTTAAAGCACAATCCTCTGGAATTATTAATTACCATTACTTTGGCATCTTACATTTTTCTTAGCCTAGATACTGTTTGGAAAACATGCTAAAAATAGTTAAACTTGAAATAGAAATATGTTCAATCCAAGAATCTTAGAAGACAATATGAGCTCCAGGCACTCACTTTATGTCCTTCCACCTGCCTTTTAAAATGTTGTTATCAACCATATTTCCGGCTCTCTAGGGGGAGAAAATAGCTCACATATAAGAAATGTAGGTGCTTTTAGTTTTAGTATAAGTAAAAATTACCCTTCAGTTAGAGCATTAAGAACAAATAAGATTTAGTATTTTTGTTTTAAAAATGACAGTCTGTTTAAAATATATGTACTTCGTTTTTGTTGACATAATTATGATTAATGTGATATGAAAGTCTTCAGATGACTTTTTTTTTTTTGGAGGTGATGCACGTGTTTATTACCTTGATTTTTTTTTCCTTTTTTTTATTATACTTTAAGTTTTAGGGTACATGTGCACATTGTGCAGGTTAGTTACATATGTATACATGTGCCATGCTGGTGCGCTGCACCCACTAACTTGTCATCTAGCATTAGGTATATCTCCCAGTTCTATCCCTCCCCCCTCTCCCCACCCCACCACGGTCCCCAGAGTGTGATATTCCCCTTCCTGTGTCCATGTGATCTCATTGTTCAATTCCCACCTATGAGTGAGAATATGCGGTGTTTGGTTTTTTGTTCTTGCGATAGTTTTTAATAAGCGAGGTTGCTGATGTTAGGACCCTTTTAAAGTAAACCCTTTATTTTGAGATAATTGTAGACTCGCATGCAATTGTGAAAAATATATAGCGAGGTCTCAAATACTCTTTACCAGTGTTTCCTCAAATGGTAACCTTTTACAAAACTATGTACAAATTATAGCCAGTGTAGTGACACGAATACAGTCAAGAACAGAGCAGCTCCACCACCACAAAGATCCTTCATGTTTACTTTTTATAGCATTCGCTTCCCTACCCACTACGTCCCTGACCGCTGACAACCACTAACCTGTGCTCCATTCCTATAAATTTGTCACTTCAAGAATGTTCTATAAATGGAACTATACAAATATGGCTTTCCGGGTTTGGCTTTTTCACTTAGCATTATTCTCTGGTGATTTATATAGGTTGTTGGCTGTATCAATATCTCTGTCCACTGATATGGATATACCATCCATTGAAGTTTAAACATTGACCAATTGAAGGATGCCTGATCTGATTCTGGTTTTTGATTATGCCAAATAATTCTGCTGTGAACATTCTAGAACTTTTTGTGTGTGTAAGCAGAAGTTTTCATTTCTCTAGGATAAATGCCAAGGAGAGTGATTGCTGTATTGCATGATAGTGGAAAATGTAGTTTGGCAATTTTTTTTTCCACCAAGAAACCTTATTAACATTGTCTCCTGGAGTGGCTAGGTTATTTTACATTTTCATGAATAATGTATAAATGACTGGTGGTGGTTTTATTTATTTATTTATTTTCTTATTTTAGCCATCCTGCTAAGGATATAGTGCTATCTCACTGTCGTTTTAATTTGCATTTCCCTGGTGGCCAATAATGTTGGAATTTTTTTATGTGCTTTATTTTTCATCAGTATATTCCCTTCAGTGAAATGTCTGACCAGGACTTTGCCCATATACTAATGAGCATTCTTTTTAACCATTGAGTTTTAAGTCTTTCTATATTCTAGATAGTAATCCTTTGTTGAATACGTGGTTTGCAAATATCTTCTCCCAGTCTGTAGCTTATTTTTTGTTGGTTTTCTTTAATTCTTTTAGGGTCTTGTACAGAGCAGTTTTTAATTTTGTTGAAGCTCTATTTATAATTTTTGTCCTTTTATTAATCTTGTGTTTGGTGTCAAATTTAAGTGTTCTTTTCCTAGTCCAAAGTCATGAAAACTTTGTTCTATTTTTTCCTAAAATTTTAAAATAATTTCAAGTTGTACATTTAAGTCCATGATCCAGCTTGAATTATGAGGTTTAGGTTGAGATTCTTGTCTTTTTCCTTTGCCCACTGATGATGACTTACTCCAATATCACTTATTAAAAAGGCTATGAATTGAATTGTTTTAATACCTTTGTCAAAAATCAGTTGGGCATATTTATATGGTTTTATTTCTGAGTTTTTTGTTCCGTTCCATTGATCTGTGTCTATTCCTCTGCCAGTATAACATATTGTGGACTACTGTAATTATGTAATAAAACTTGAAACCAGGTAGACTGACTTATTTTTCCTCTTCAAAATTGTTTAGCTAGTCTAGTTCCTTTTTTTATTATTATTATACTTTAAGTTTTAGGGTACGTGTGCACAACATGCAGATTTGTTACATATGTATACATGTGCCATGTTGGTGTGCTGCACCCATTAACTCTTCATTTAGCATTAGGTATCTCTCCTAATGCTATCCCTCCCCCTTCCCCCCACCCCACAACAGTCCCCAGTGTGTGATGTTCCCCTTCCTGTGTCCATGTGTTCTCATTGTTCAACTCCCACTTATGAGTGAGAACATGCGGTGTTTGGTTTTCTGATCTTGTGTTAGTTTGCTGAGAATGATGGTTTCCAGCTTCATCCATGTCCCTGCCAAGGACATGAACTCATCATTTTTTATGGCTGCATAGTATTCCATGGTGTATATGTGCAACATTTTCTTAATCCAGTCTATCGTGGTTGGACATTTGGGTTGGTTCCAAGTCTTTGCTATTGTGAATAGTGCCGCAATAAACATATGTGTGCATGTGTCTTTATAGCAGCATGATTTATAATCCTTTGGGTAT
This sequence comes from Homo sapiens, assembly GCF_000001405.40. Lineage (NCBI taxonomy): Eukaryota > Metazoa > Chordata > Mammalia > Primates > Hominidae > Homo > Homo sapiens. The sequence continues at coordinate 49,625,378 of NC_000011.10, forward strand.
ATACCCAGTAATGGGATGGCTGGGTCAAATGGAATTTCTAGTTCTAGATCCCTGAGGAATTGCCACACTGACTTCCACAATGGTTGAACTAGTTTACAGTCCCACCAACAGTGTAAAAGTGTTCCTATTTCTCCACATCCTCTCCAGAACCTGTTGTTTCCTGACTTTTTAATGATCACCATTCTAACTGTTGTGAGATGATATCTCATTGTGGTTTTGATTTGCATTTCTCTGATGGCCAGTGATGATGAGAAATTTTTCATGTGTCCGTTGGCTGCATAAATGTCTTCTTTTCAGAAGTGTCTGTTCATATCCTTCACCCACTTTTTGATGGAGTTGTTTGTTTCTTTCTTGTAAATTTGTTTGAGTTCATTGTAGGTTCTGGATATTATTAGCCCTTTGTAAGATGAGTAGGTTGAAAAAATTTTCTCCCATTCTGTAGGTTGCCTGTTCACTCTGATGGTAGTTTCTTTTGCTGTGCAGAAGCTCTTTAGTTTAATTAGATCCCATTTGTCAATTTTGGCTTTTGTTGCCATTGCTTTTGGTGTTTTAGATATGAAGTCCTTTCCCATGCCTATGTCCTGAATGATATTGCCTAGGTTTTCTTCTAGGGTTTTTATGGTTTTAGGTCTAACATGTAAGTTTTGTATCCATCTTGAATTAATTTTTGTATAAGGTATAAGGAAGGGATCCAGTTTCAGCTTTCTACATATGGCTAGCCAGTTTTCCCAGCACCATTTATTAAATAGGGAATCCTTGCCTCATTGCTTGTTTTTCTCAGGTTTGTCAAATAGCAGATAGTTGTAGATATGCTTCTTTTGGTCAGGTTTGTCAAAGATCAGATAGTTGTAGATATGCGGCATTCTAGTTCCTTTACCTTTCCACATGCATTTTAGAATAATCTTGTCTATATATAGAAAAAGCCTGTATACTTTGTAGATTTATACGCCATTTTTTAGTGATTGTAAATGGTAATTTTTTTATTTTCAATGTCCATATGCTCATTGCTAGTATATAAAAGTACATTTGATTTTTATGTTTATCATGAATACTGAAGCTTTGCTGAACTCACTTGTCAGTTTTAGGAGTATTTTTGTAGATTCCTTGGGATTTTCTATTTAGACTGCCATGCCATCTCCTAATAGAAACAGTTTTATTGCTTCATCTCTAATCTTAGTTTTACCTTTTATTTACTTTTATTGCCTGTTGCACTGGCTAGAACATCTAGTGCTATTTTGAATAATGGGAAGATTGGTCAGCCTTGCCTTGTTCTTAAACTTAGACTAAAGCATTTGGTCTTTCAATATGAAGTATAACATTTACTGCTGGTTTTTTGGAGATGCTCTTTATCAAGCATCAAGCTGGGTAATTTCTCTCTATTCCTGTATTCTTGAGAGTTGGGTTTTTTAAATCAATGAATTTATGTTGAATTTTATCAAATGGTATCTCTGCATTCATTGATATGATCATGTCATATGGTAAATTACATTGATTGATTTTCAAATATCACTCCCACATCGCATCCCTGGAATAAACACCACTTGGTCATGGTGTATAAACTGCTGAATTCATTTTTATGTACTACTGAATTCTACATAATAATATTTTGTTAAAAATTTTTGTGGTTATATTTGCAAGGTAGTTTCTCCCTCCCTCCCCGCCTTCCTTCCTTCCTTCCTTCTTTACTGCTCGCTTCTCCTCTCTCTCTTTACTATTTTTCTTCTCTCTCCCCCTCTCATATTTTTCTTCTCCCACCCCCTCTCATTTATTTTTTTTTGTTATTAGTTTTCATACCAGGGAATACTTTCTTTGGTTTTGGTATCATGAATGTACTACATTCATAAAGCATATTGAGAAGTATTCCCTACTCTTCTCTTTTCTGAACGAGAATGTATAAAATATATTTGAACTCTTCCTTAATGCTTGATAAATTTCTCTGGGGAAACCATCCTGGTCTGGAGATGACTTTTTTGAGTTTACATTATAAAGTCAATGTCATTAATAGTTATAGGATGTTGAAGTTATCTATTTATATTTAAGTATTTGAGTAAATTGTGATTGTCTGTGCATTTCATGGAATTGATTAATTTCCTCAAAGTTGTCAAGTATGTGTTTGTAGAGCTATTTGTAGTATCCCCTTACTATTCCTTCAATATTTGAAGGCTCTCTATTGATGTTCCACATTTCACTCATGTTGGTGGTAATTCATGAATTCATGTCCTCTCTCTCCCTGTCTCATTTTTTTCAGTCTTCTTAGAGGATTGTCAATTTTACTGATTTTTTTTAAATGAAGTAACTTGATTTTCTCTATTTTTTGTTTTCAAGTTTATTAATTTTTGTTATTATATTTATTGTTTTCTTTCTGTTTGCTTTGCATTTATTTTGCTCTTTCTTCTGAGGTGGAAAGTAATGCTACTGATTTAAGATTTTTCTCTTCTTTCTTTCTTTTTTATTTTTTTTTTAATTTTGAGACAGAGTTTCACTCTTGTTGCCCTGGCTGGAGTACAGTGGCACAATCTCGGCTCACTGCAACCTCCACCTCCTGGGTTCAAGTGATTCTCCTGCCTCAGCCCCCCAAGCAGCTGGGATTACAGGCACCTGCCACAAAGCCCAGCTATTTTTTTTATATTTTTAGTAGAGCTGGGGTTTCTCCATGTTGGCCAGGTTGGTCTTGAACTCCTGACCTCAGGTGATCCACCCGCCTCAGCCTCCCAAACTGCTGGGATTACAGGTGTGAGCCACTGCGCCCGTCCAGAGATTTTCTTCTTTTCTAATAGAATCATTTAATGCTATTCATTTCTCAGCACTGTGTTAGCTGTGTTCCACAAGTTTTGTTATAGTGTCAACTTAGTTCAATGATTTAAAAAAGTTTTATCTTGATACTTCCTTTTTAGCATGTAGATTATTTAGCAGTGTATTGTTTAATATCTATGTGTTTGAGATTTTCTTGGTATATTTCTGTTACTGATTATGTTTTGATTCCGTTGTGGTCAAACAACACATTCTGCATGATTTCAAGTCCTTCAAGTTTGTTGTGGTTTGTTTTCTATCTTAGTGTATGTTCCAAAGGCACGTGAAAAAGAAGAACATATTCTTCTGTTGGATGGAATGTTCTATAAATGCCAATTAGATGTTTTACTAGATATGTTTGTCTATATCGTTATTGATTTTATGTCTAGTTCTATCAATTTTTGAGAGAGTGGCATGGAAGTACCCCACTAAAATGTGGTTTTGTCCCTTTTTCTTTTAAATTGTATCAGCTTTTGCTTCACATTACTAGAAGATTTGTTGTTGGTTGCATATAACTTTAGGATTGGGTTGTCCTCTTTTTTATCATTCTATAGTATAATGACCTGATGTATCATCATTCAAATTTGGCAAGTAATTAGTTGCAGCCATAGATAGTGTCAGAATTGTTATAACTTGATTTGTGTTGCATGGCTTATGAAGCCCAAGTACACCAAATACCATTTCTTCTCTTCAGAAGTGCTCAGAGATGTCCTTTGGAAGTTTATCAGTTTTGTTCTTCTCCAAAGGAAGATCATATTTCTCATGGATTTCAGAGATAAAGACACAGCTGTAATCAAATTGTGTGTATAGAAAATAGGCCATTTTGTAGTAAAATTCTCCCACAGGGTTTATCATGCTGAGTTGAACTGTGAAACTAATACGTTGGGTGATAATTAAAACTGTCCTAAAAAATGTGAAGCTGTAAGATCTCATACAAGCATACATTTACTTTGACTAGCAGCTATATACTATTGTTTCTCTGTGAGGTTTTTCTTTTTTTTTTCTTTTCTTTTTTCTTTCTTTGGTTATGGTTTTGATGACCATTTCTGAGGGAGATGTCAATTTCTGGAAAGTCTTTGGATGAAGGGTACAGGTGAGGAAAGCAGCCATATGGTTCTTCCTTTTTCCATGCCCAGAGCCCCAGTATGTAATCATTCTTCTTATACATTTGTAGATATTTTATTTGGAATTTCAAGATTTGAGTTTTGCTGCATACCCTTCATATGTTTGATACAACCTATATACCATTTTTCAATCATATTATTAGAAATGAGAACTGATATTTAGAAAATGTCAAATGATTTACATCCTACAGATTGCAGCAGACATCGTAATTGTCAAGTCCAAAGAATTTTTAATTGTCCTTGCCCAAGAATATATTCTACAACATTAGTGCACACCACTTCAGTACCTTATACCATGTACCTCACTGGCCATTTTTTCTTTTGTTCTTTTTTTTTTTTTTTTGAGGTGGAGTCTCGCTCTGTCGCCAGGCTGGAGTGCAGTGGCATGATCTCAGCTCATTGCAACCTCTGCCTCCCAGGTTCATGTGATTCTCCTGCCTCAGCCTCCCTAGTAGCTGGGACTACAGGTGCCTGCAAACACGCCCGGCTGAATTTTTGTATTTTAGTAGAGATGTGGTTTCGTCATGTTGGCCAGGATAGTCTTGATCTCCTGACCTCATGATCCACCTCCCTTGGCCTCCCGAAGTGCTGGGATTACAGGCGTGCAACACCGTGCCTGGTCACTGACCTTATTTTAACTCATATGTTCACTTTTGCTCTGTACAACCAATTCTTGCTGGATCTCTTATTTCATATCTTGTTACATGTGGGTGCTATAATAACTGTCTCCTATTCTCTCCTCAAATTACTCTATGGTTTTTAAAGCTTAGTTTCAGTATCATCGTTGTTCTGGGAATTTTTCTAACCAGGCTCATGCTCACAATTCTCAAAGGTTAGGAGCTCTACAGCTAGACCATTTTGCTCATTTCTTTATCTCCAGGGTTTGGCAATTTATAGGTACATAATAAACATTCTTTAAATAATTTCATTTTAGTTATGGTTATGGGAAGGAATGAAAGCATAGGTAAACATTATGAGGATAAACTAAGAGACAAGCTATAGGTGAAGCATTCCCTAAAACAATTAAGATAACTAAAACCATAACATACAGTAACAGGAAAACTCTATAGATATCAGTAGAACTTCACCCCCTACCAGTCCTTGGATCTTGATCTTATGGAACCTCATACACACTTGAGACAATGGTTTTGTAAAAAAACAAAACAAAACAAATCAAAAAGAACTTTCTGATATAAAGTAAATTAAAATCTTAACCTGAGTTAAATCCAAATCATCCCGGGAACACCAACGAAGTGTTTTACTGTTTTTTTTTGTTGTTGTTTTGTTTTTCTGTAATGCTTTAATTCAGTGGCTTTCAAAGAATGACCATGGCTAACTCTGGTGTCTCCAAGATTCTCTCAGAGGATTCACAATGTCTATATTATTGTCATATCAATACTTTGAAGCAATTGTAATATATATATATATATTATATATATATATATAATCAGTTAAAGTGATAAATAATAATAATGGGTTTTTGTGTCAGGCACCTTACCAGGTGCCAGAGAAAAATACTTTCTCTCTTTTTGTGAAAAATGCTATTGGAATTTTGATAGGGATTGCATTTAATGTGTAGATTGCTTTGAGTAATATTAACATTTTAACAATATTAGTTCTTCTAATCCATGAACTCAGGATATCTGTTAATTTATTTGTGTCTTTTTTAAATATCTTTCATCAGTGTCTCATTGTTTTCCTTGTATATATCTCCTACCTCCTTGGTTAAATATATTTCCAAGCATTTAATTCTTTTTATAGTTATTTTATAATCTTATTTTCTATTGTAAATAAAATTATATTCTTATTTTTTTGGGGGGATAGTCCATTGTTAGTGACTGAATGCTGCTGATTTTTGTATATTGCTTTTATATTATAAAACTTTACTGAGGTTGGTACAGTGCTTTGTATCAGTAATCCCAGTACTTTTGGAGGCCAAAGCGAGAGAGCTGCTTGAGCCTAGGAGCTTGAGACCAGCCTGGGCAACATATGGAGGTAACTACAAAAAGTCAAAAAAAACTGGTTGGGTATGGTGGCTCATGCCTGTCATTCCACTTACTCAGGAGGCTAACGTGGGAGGATCACTTCATCACTGCATCTCAGGGCTGCAGTGAGCCATGATTACATCACTGCACTCCAGCCTGGACAACAGAGTGAGACCCTGTCTCAAAAAACAAACAAACTAAAAACACCAGAAATAAAACCAGAAAAAAAATTTACTGAATTCATTTATAGTTCTCATATCTTTTCAGTGGAGTCTTTAGGGTTTTCTATATATAATATTACATTACCTTTACACAAAAACAGTTTATCTTTGAGAACCAAAAAAAGACTCTGAATAGCCAAAGCAATTTTGAGGAAGATCAAAGCTGGAGGCATCACATTCCTTGATTTCAAACTATATTACAAAGCTACTATAATTTAGAACGTATGGTACTCAGTTGAAAACAGACATATTTACTAATAGCACAAAATAGAGAGACCAGAGTTAAACACACATATATGGTCAACTAATCTTTAATAAGGGTACCAAGAACACACAATGATGGAAGAAAAGTCTCTTCAATAACTGCCACTGGGAAAAATGGATATCCATATCCATATAGAAAAGAATATGAAACTGGACACTTGTCTTTCTTTTTTTTTTTTTTTTTTTTGAGACAGAGTCTCACTCTGTCCTCCAGGCTGGAGTGCAGTGGCACGATCTTGGCTCACTGCAAGCTCTGCCTCCTGGACTCATGCCATTCTTCTGCCTTAGCCTATGGAGGAGCTAGGACTACAGGCACCCACCACCATGCCCAGCTAATTTTTTTGTATTTTCAGTAGAGGCGGGGTTTCACCGTGTTAGATAGGATGATCTTGATCTCCTGACCTCCTGATCCGCCCACCTGAGCCTCCCAAAGTGATGGGATTACAGGCATGAGCCACCACGCCAGGCCTGGACTCTTGTCTTACATACAAAAATTAACTAGAAGTGGATTAAAGACTTAAATATGAGATGTGAAAACATAAAACTTCTATAGGAAAACTAGAGGGAAAGATTCTTGAAATTGGTCTTCCCAGTGATTTTTGGGGGAGGATATGATACCAAGAGTGCAAGCAAAAAAAAAAAAAAGCAAAAATAAACTCATCTGAATATATTAAACCAAAATTTCAGTACAGCAAAGGAAACAAGCAACAAAATAAAAAGGCAACCTATGGCTTGGAAGAAGATATTTGCAAACCACATATCTAGGAAGGGATTAATACCCAAAATGTATAAGGGACCCATACAACTTAGTAGCAAAGAACAAGTAACCCAAATAAAAATAAGCAAAAGAGTTGAATAAACATTTTTTCCCAAAGACTTCTTTCCAAAGAAAATATACAAATGCAAAATTATAGTATAAAATCACCACCAGGATATTGACATTAATACAGTTAAGAAAGAGAAGTGTTCCATCACCACTAGGAAACCTCATGTTATCCTTTTATAGCCACGCCCACTTCCTCCATTTTCTCTTTTTTCTGAACCTTGTCAACCACCAATCTGTTCTCCATTTCTATAATATTGTCATTTCAAGAATGTTGTATAAATTGAACCATACAATATATGACCTTTGGCTTTTTAACTTAGCATAACTCTCTAGAGATTATATTAGTTGTTGTATATATTAGTATCAATAGGTTGTTCTTTTTTGTTACCTAATAGTACTCCATGAGATGGATGTACCGTAGTCATTTAAACGTTCATCCATTTAAGGATATCTGTAATAAGCCTGCCATAATCATTTGTGTACACATTTATATGTAAATATAATTTTTCATTTTTTAGGATAAATGCCCAGGATTGCAATTGGTGGGTTGTATGGTAGTGGAATGTTTATTTATTATTTATTATTGTTAAGAAACTGCCAAAATGTTTTCCAGAGTTGGGCATACCATTTTATACTACCATCAGCAATATATAAATGATTGATGTTGTAATTTTGCATTTTAGACACACTAGCAGTTATGTTTTGATAACTTACTCTGATTTTCACTTGTATTATTTTGTTAGCTAACCCTATTGGACATAGATTGATGTGCATACTTGCATCTGCAAGCGTCCATACAGTAGAAAAGGACAAACAATGCTTTAGTATTGCTATGATAATAATACTGACATTGCAGATCCTCTGAAAGTGTCTTGGGGACACCAAAGGCATCCTTGGCCATGTTTGAAAACTGCTTAATTTAAACTTACTATGGAAAAGTGAAACATTTGGTGTTCTTGGTATGATTAGGACTTCATTTTGATTAATAATTTTTTATGTCAGAAAGTGTTGTTTATTAAAACATAGTCCCAAGCATACATGAGGTTTCATGAGATCAATATACAAGGACTCATGGGGTAAGCTCTACTGAGATCCACAGACAATAAATTGTGCCTTTAGTTATCTTGATTGCTTTAGGGAATGCTTCTCTAATAGCTTGACTCTTAGTTTATACTCAGAAGAATCACCTATAATTTTATCCATTCTCTTAATTATGACTGAAATGAAGTCATTCTAAGGATTTTTATTATGTACCTAAAATCTGCCAGAGTCTGGGGAAAAATAAATAAACAAAATTGGTTATATATGTAGGAGCATGAGTTATGGCATCTAACCTTTAGAATTGTGGTATGAAAATAGTTTTTCCAGAGAAATGATGATACTGCAACCAAATCTTAAAAAACATGGTGAGATTAAGAGAACTGGGTGTGAGAGTGGGATGGCAGGCTTTATTCCTTTAGAGTGGCATTTATGGCTCTTGTGTATTTATTTCTTAGACTGGACCTGGTATCAAAGGACCATTAATAAATGATTAAGCAGAATGGAGTAAAATTGAGTACCAGATTGATGATACACATAATAGTGTGATTAGAAAAAAAGTGAGTCAAATTATTAAAATGGCATTCAAAAATATCATTGATAACAACATAAGATTTATTTTCATAATTTGCCAGGTGTGTGTTCTTGAGATTTGAAGAAATTAGATGGAATGATTCTTTAGTATATGATGCCCTGGAAAATGAAAACATCCAAGTGCTCTCTCTCTGTTTCCCCAGCAGTGCTGTAATTCAAATAAATACCTTTCTTTCTCCTATAGCTTTAATAAACCATTTGAATGTTACATAAACTTTTAACCCTTTTTGATTAAAAATATATAGGTCTTACAAGTTTAAAGTGAATATCATTTATTCTAATTTTATAATCTTTATTTAAATTTAGGAAGGTAATTATCAGAGTTAAGAGAATAAAGATATGGCTAACTAGCGGCATAATATACATTTATAGTCATATGTCACTTAACAATGGAAATACTTTCTGAAAAATGCAACGTTAGGCAGTTTCATCCTGTGAACATCATAACGTGTACTTACATAAACCTAGATGGGATAGCCTACGCTACACTTACACTATGTGGTATGGCCTATTTCTCCTAGGCTACAAATCTGTACAGCCTATTACTGTAGTGAAAACTATAGGCAATTGTAACAAAATGTAAAGTGTTTACATGTATAAACATAGAAAAGGTACAGTAAAAATACAATATAAAAGATAAAAAATGGTACACCCGTATAGGGCATTTACCATGAACGAAGCTTGAAAGATTAGAAGTAGCTCTGGTGAGTTGGTGAGTGGCAAGTGAATGTGAAGGCCCAGGACATTACTGTGTACTACTGTAGACTTTATAAACACAGTAAACTTAAGCCATACTAAATTTATTAAAACACCTTTTTTCAATAATAAACTTACTGTAACTTTTTTACTTTATAAACTTTAAGTTTTTGATTATTGTAATAACAGCTTTAAACACAAACATATTGAAGAGCTGTGCACAACTATTTTCTTTATATTCCTTTTCTATATGCTTTTTAATATTTTTAAAAGTTTTTATTTTTCAACTTTTTGTTAAAAACTGAGATAGAAACACACACATTAGCTTCGGTCTACAAAGAATCAGGACCTGTAAATATCACTGTCTTCCACTTTTCTCACTGTAAAATCTTTAGGGGCAATAATGTGCATGGGGCCATTACCTCCTATGGTAAAAATGCCTTATTCTGGAATATGTCCTGATGGATTGCCTGGGGCTGTTTTACAGGTAAGTTTTTTCACAAGCAGAAGGAGTATACTCTAAAATAATGATAAAAAGTATAAAGTATATTATCAGAAGTACATAAATTAGTAACATAGTGATTTATTGTCATTAACGAGTGTTAGGTACTGTATGAAACTGTATGTGTTAGATTTTATGAGATATTAAAAAAAAGACTTTTGTGAGACTGGCAGCACAGGAGGTTTGTACACCAGCATCACCACAAACACCAGTGATGAGTTGCACTATGACATTATAATAACTATGACATCACTAGGCAATAGGAATGTTTCGGCTTCATTGTAATCTTATGGGATCACCTTTGCATATATGATTTGTTGTTGACCAAAACATTCTGGCAATAGGTGGTGCATAACTGTAGTTACTATGCACATGAACTCTTTAGGTGCCAATTAAGATAAATTTGAGAAACAACTAAGGAGACAATAGAGTTTTATTTGTGTGTGAATGTAAAGTAGTAAGAGAATTGCTATGAGGAAGAAAAAATTGTAATGATGTAATCCAACAGATTTATGTCAGTAGTCCAGACTTGTCTGTTATTGTTATAGCATACACTTAAAAAATGTGAATTTGAATGCCTGGCCAAAGAAACATTGAAAAAGGAGGCTATATCATGCCCATAAAGATTAGCTAAATTTTGTGTGTGTGTGTGTGTGTGTGATGGAGTTTCGCTCTCATTGCCCAGGCTGGAGTGCAGTGGTGTGATCTCAGCTCACTGCAACCTCCGCCTCCCAGGTTCAAGCCATTCTCCTGCTTCAGCTTCCTGAGTAGCCAAGATTACAGGCGTGTGCCATCATGCCCAGCTAATTTTGTACTTTTAGTAGAGACGAGGTTTCTCCATGTTGGTCAGGCTGGTCTCAAACTTCTGACCTCAGGAGATCCACTCGCTTCAGCCTCCCAAAATGCTGGGATTAAAGGCATGAGCCACTGCTCCCGGCCAGCTTCTATATAAGATGGAAATCAGTACAAATGTACTGATTTTAACAGTTAAAAATTAATATTCCTCTATAATTTGTATTTTCATTACATTTCTTTCACAAAATTTAATTATAATGTAAGATATACTTTTAAAAATTTATTGTGTGTGTGTAAAACAAAAAAATAGATAAATTGTGTGTACAGATACATGTATATATGTGTGTGTCTGTTTCCCTGTATTTTAAAAACCTGGACAGTGTTATTCTCATAAATAATTTAGTATTAAATTGATCAAAACATTATAACTATATTACAAATTAAAAGAATTATTACACATAAAATAATTTGGCAATGACAAATTTTTATAAAATGGGTGGAGTTCTTTTTCCAAATGATTCATGGATCCATACATAAATATCACTTCCTATTAGAATTGAGACTTATGTAAGCAAAAGGTTTATATATCACTTATTTGTATTTTTTAGATTGTTTTATAAATGTAAGGGCTATGAAATACTGTTTACATAAATGAACAAGTAGGCTAGAAGAAATTCTATTGCAGTGACATTGAATGTTTTTAATTCTTTCTATTTTCTAAAAATCACATGATGAACATGAGAAAATAATTTTAGTGACCAGCTGATCATCTGTTGAATTTTCCTTCAATTTTGATAGAAACAAAAAATTGGAATCTATTTGACTTGCAGAAATATTGGTTACCCAATACCAACAGCGGGATTTTGAAATGTCACTTTGCTTTCCCTAAGGTTTTTTACACGTTGGAGCAATACATCATAATAAATTGAGGATAGAAAATTCAAGTTATCTTGCATTGTAGGAATAAAAAAGGGAAGAAAAAACTAACATGGCTGATCAATATTAAGATACAGCTCAGGTTCAAACTTAATTCAGCCTCCTAGATGCCAATTTCTCCTGTAGGCAATTTATTTGGCTGATCTAATTTAACCCTTATAGCTATCTCTGATATAAGGACTTATTCTAATTCTTCAGATCAAGAAAGTGAGGGCTATAGAAGGTAACCACAATTTGAGGGCAGAGCTGAGATACGAACTTCAGTTCAATGACTCCTGGTTCTATGTTCTTTTCACTTAAACATCAATTAGGGATTTCAATTTTATAATCTGAAACTAAGAACCCAGTTGTTTATGGCAAGGTGGGGTGTAGAGAAATAATTTTTTTGTTTATACTATTTCTGACTAATAAATGTCTAAATCAGCCAGAACGAATGACTGTCTCTCCTTGACTCATAGTTTGGAGAGCAATCCTTTGGTAATCCATTCCAATGTTTTGTCTGTAAATAGCATAAAGATCACAATTAACTAGATTAAACTTCCATGTGAAATTTTTGCCATTTAAAAATTTAACTTTAAAGTATAATGATTCATTATTATTTTAATTTGGACAGTTTTGAGTCTAGGTTTGGAAGTCACAGACTTGTACATATTGATGTTTCGTTGAATGTGTGTAACACTAGATAAATTACCTAATGTCTCTGAGCTTCAGTTTCCTCATATTTAATATTTGGGTAATAAGGTTCATATAATGTTTTAATGCAATGGCATATCTAAAATATTAACAAAGTGTATGGCATAGAACAAACACGTGCATATATTGATGAAGCCAAATGCACGAAAGCATTGATGAAATGAGGTTGAAGAGGCAGAGATCACAGAGTACCTTGTATGCCTCGATTAACATCTTTTTCTTTGAGAAGAGAATATGGGCAAAAAATAGTTCCTAACTATAGATTTTTTAAAAAAACTCATTTTTTTTTTTTTCTGATTAGGGACTATTTTAGGTTTAAGAAAAGTTCCAGAAATAGTACTGATAATTTCTATATATCCTTCCCTCAGTTTTCCTTAATGATATTTTACATCACCATTTGTCCAAACAATTGGTATGATACTATTAACTAAACTACTACAGGTCAGGTCATATCCTTTTATTTTTATTTATTTATTTTTTTGAGACAGAGTCTCACTCTTGTTGCCCAGGCTGGAGTGCAGTGGTGAGATCTCAGCTCACTGCAAGCTCTGCCTCCCGGGTTCATGCCATTCTCTTGCATCAGCCTCCCAAGTAGCTGGGACTACAGGCACCTGCCACCACGCCCGGCTAACTTTTTGCATTTTTTAATGGAGACAGGGTTTCACCATGTTAGCCAGGATGGTCTAGATCTCCTGACCTGGTGATCCACCCGCCTCTGCCTCCCAAAGTGTTGGGATTACAGGTGTGAGCCACTGCTCCCGGCCAGGTTATATCATTTTTATAATCGAAAAACTACTAGAAAAAATAAGAACACTTTTATTTAATTAAATTAACTTTTTAGGAGTGCATTTCTTAGAACTTTCTTAGATTTTAGATATTTCACCAATATGAGGTAGTCATTAGGTTGAGGACATCAATAGTTCTCTCTCCTGCTAAATGTTCAGAAACCACATTCACTTAGGACTATCTTAATTTCATTAACAAACATTGCCTAGATATAATTTATTTTTTGTTAACTGATCAGAACACATTTACCAAAATTTGAATGCTTATTTTTAGCCATTTTAATTGAGTAGGTAATAGAGATATTGTATTTCTGATTAATATTTCCAATATTTTCAGCTGTGTTTTTTCAATTATAAAACTAGGAGGCAATTCTAAAAATATGCACTGAAGAATTAGTCTGTGGATAGAAGTCTGCAAAATCCAACCTCTGCACACTAAGACTCTATTTATCTCCCAATGATCATATCTTCAGAATCTCCCACATTTCTTTACCTCCAACATTTAAAATTGTTTAGTCCTTTATTGGGTAAATAGCCCATGCAATAGAATGCCTTACATTTCCAAGATTTTTGCCCTGGTTAGGCCAATGTGAGGTCTTCAATAAGAATCTGGGAATTAGAAAGGACCACGACCCAACAGCAGCAGTGTTAAAAAAAAAAAAATGTTAATGTCTGTCTCACATGTCTGCTCAGTTACTCATTGATTTCAGCTCAAGCCCCTATTAGGAAGTGATTTTTTTTCCACAAAAAAAGGAGTATAAAGTGTTCCTCTCTCTACTGCAGCACAGGAGAGCCACAGACAGGAATTCACAGAAACAGCAGACCTGAGCACAGAGAAAGACAGGACCAGAATATTAAACAGATGAGGCAAAAGACAACTTTGGGCAAAACTGAAGGCTTTTCTACAAATAGTAAGATGGGCCCTGAAAAAAAGTAAATGGCATGGTATACTCACAAAACAGATCAGCAATAATCAGACATCTCTAAAGGGTATTGACGCAAATAAGATAGTCTCCTAGCAAGGATTAATATTTTTGTAATACCTGTAAGGTAATGACTTGGAAATTTATGTCAGACTCACAGAACATTTATCACTTGATATGTGTATTAATATTTAAGTTAGAGAATAAATGTGCAGTTTCTTATTCCAGTAAATATTTGGTTCCAGTGTTTCAAAAGATCATTTTGTTTACATTTTGGAATCAAAAGTTCAATAAACCCTCCTGGCGTTATGAAATCATGATAATGAGACTAGTTAGACCCTCCATGACTTGAGAGGCTCCTGTTGTTTTAAAAGACTGGTTTCTCTCAGGATAAACTACTTACTCATCACAGGAGAATTCCAAGGCCCTAATTCTCCTTTCACCTGCCTGTGACTTTCGCATTATTCATTAGGTTTAGATTATTTAAGAGTTAATAGCAGCATCAGGAATGAAACTGCATTGCTGAACAAGAAGATGAAAAATTATGGCTCTTTGTGAAATGAATTTTTCTTAAAACTAGGACTGTTTTAAAGATGGTAGGAGGTATATGAAGGATTTTGATACACTCAATAGTATTTATGTCTTTTCTCACACAGCAAAGAGTGCAATCTTAAAGAAATATAAATTGAAGTTAGGAATCCTGCGTTCAATCTCGGCTCTTCCACTCACGGAATGTGTGTCTTTGACAAATTTCCTACTCTGAGCATCAGTTACCTCATTAGCAAAATGGAGATAATAGATACCTAATAGAGAATGAGAGGATTCTACGACGTAACAGAAAGCTTTTTGTATGGTTACTGGCACATGCAAGGTGCTCAAAATATTAGCTGCTTTTTTTTCTCTCCAACATCAACATTTTATCTTTTCAACATTTTTAAAATTTAATTTCTTGACATACAAAATATTGTACATCAAGCTTGTCCAGCCCTTAGCCTTGTAAGCCACATGCGACTGCAGCCCAGGATGGCTTTAAATGCTGCCCAACACAAATTCATAAACTTTCTTAAGACATTATGAGGTTTTTTGTATTTTTTTTTTTAGCTCATCCGCTATTGTTAATGTTACTGTATTTGATGTGTGGTCCAAGACAATTCTTCTTCCAGTGTGGCCCAGGGAAGCCAAAAGAGTAGATGCCCCTGCTGTACATAATTAATGGATACAGCTTGATGAGTTTGGAGGTAAGTATACACCCATGAAACCATTACCACAACCAATGCCATAAATATATCCATCATTTGCAAAAGTTTCTTCCAGCTTTCTTGTTTATTATTATTACTTTTTGTGACAGAACAATTAACATAAGATCTACCCTCTTTGCAAGTGTTTAAATGTACAGTACAACATTAACTATAGGCACTATGTTTGTACAGTAAATACCTAGGACTTATTTACCTTGTATTTTAGAGCAGGCTAATTGTGAGGAAGATTGGCTACAAGTGGAGCAGAAACTGATCTACTACAAATGAAAATGCGCAGTTTTCTATATGATACCCAATAAAGTAGATGATATACTTAAGGATATATAAGCAGAAATGCTGAATGAAAAGGTAATAAAACAATTTTGTGCAAGATTACTATGAGTTTGTATGTGTTGACAAGGGAGGTGTGTTGATGTGCAAGAGAAAGTAATTGTTCTCTCTACCTATCTTTACCAGGGCATTGTGATGCCAAATAACATTCATGTCAATTGTCATAAGCAGCACAGAATTTTGAGGTAATTCTATGCCTGTTGCATCTGTCTTTCCCTCTATAGCAAGTGGCTTCTCCTTGAATATCCAGGGCAACAAAATATGAAATCTTGAATTAAAATCTTAGTCTTTCACTTGCAGAAATGTGCTTCTTACCTGCTGTGGTCATTTACTTTGAGCTAGTCTCAAATTCTTGCATAGGACACCACTTCAAATATTCAAGACCTTCATAGCTGATAGCAAGTAGGTAATACTTTGGAAATTTAAATTTCTGCATTCTGAATGGAACTTTATTTTTGTTAATGAACTTAGTTTTTTAAAGACTTTGGCTCACGCCTGTAATGCCAGCACTTTGGGAGGCCGAGGTGGGCGGATCACAAAGTCAGGAGATCAAGACCATCCTGGCTAGCACAGTGAAACCCCGTCTCTACTAAAAATACAAAAATTAGCTGGGTGTGGTGGCGGGCACCTGTGGTCCCAGCTGCTCAGGAGGCTGAGGCAGGAGAATGGAGTGAACTTGGGAATCGGAGCTTGCAGTGAGCTGAGATCGTGCCACTGCACTCCAGCCTGGGTGACAGAGTGAGACTCCGTCTCAAAAAAATAAAATAAAATAAAATAAAATAAAATAAAATAAAATGAAATGAAATGAAATGAAATGAAATGAAATAAAATAAAACAAAAAAAAGAAACAAAAATATTTTATGTTAAATCACCTGGGATGAATTTCTCGAATTCATTTAAAAATGTTCCTTCATTTTGACAAAGACTTGTTTTAATCTCTTCAAATGAATCTATTATTTGAGAATAAAATCTTGCTAGATTCTAAATCTCCCCACATGAGAAATAGAGTTTTATTTGATCTATTAGAAAATTAAAGTAAACTGAGAGTTTCTCCCTCAATATTGACTAGTTTACTAGGGATGACATTATTCATTTTTTCTCTTTCCAACAGTATTATTTAAGGGTAATATGCTAAGTATACTGGAAAAATCAGCATATCTAAGTATTTTTTTTTGTATTTATAGAAAAGAGTTGGAGGAAGTAAGTCTTCACTAGCAGCGTAAAAGAACTTCCATTTTTATCTCTGAAAAAAAAAAATTTGCGTATGTGTCAGATTTACTGCTTAATTGCAACTACCACAATATAAAAACTTACTCTGGATGCACAATTCAGCAAACAATTATTGAGTGTTGCTTCTGTATATAATAGAGTGCTACTAATCCTAAAGAATACAATGTTGACAAACTCAGCATCATCAACCTCCTCCTCAAGTCTATTACGGATAAAATTTACATAATAACAGCAATTATTAATTCATTTTTTTTTTTTTGCCAAGCCCTGTGTTCAGCACTTGGATTTTTAAATTTTCTTACAACAACCCCATGTATTAGATATATTATATCTATTTATTGGATAAAGAAACAAAACCTTTGGAAGATAAGATTCAGGCTACCATAGTTCTATCTGAGAAATAAAAAAAGTGGCATTGAAGAAAGGAGAAGAAATGGTAGATTTGCAAGATTCACGAGACCGAAGCACACTGCAGCCTTCTCTCAATTTTTGTTTTAATTACTGTCACTGCCACAATCCTATTCTCTCCAACGTGGTCACAATTTTATATCAGTTTTTAAATATTCATTATATTTAGTCAGTATCTGCACACACTCAATGTATGTATTTTAAGTTGTAACTACCTAGGAATCAATTTTATTTTCCTCTTCTTGAGGTTAAAATCAATAATCATTAACTGGAATCATTTCACTCAAAGCATCATTAAATTTATCAAATTAACTAATCAAATAGGTGGAACCAACATAACAAATAAGCAATTTCACAAACAGCCCTGTGCTAGCTGCAACCTGAATATTCATGTGAAAGTGTAAAACCAATGTGAGACCATAGCTCTCTGTTCAAATGGAAGCTAGGCACATTATATTCATAACATTATTTCATTCTTGTTATAACCAAGGGAGGACACTATTATGATCTCCATTTTATACATGGGGAAACTAAGGTTAGTGGAGGCACAATTCACTTATCAATGTTTGGCTTCAAAGCCTAATTTTTTACCTCATAGTATGTTGGAATCAAAATGAGACCAACATTGCCATTTTAACAGAAATGAAACAAAATGTTATATAATACATTTAGATGGCAGTGCTTCACAAACATTCAAGCCCATATGAGTCAACTGGGGATAATGTTAAAAGGCAGTTTCTGAGTCAGTAGATCTGGGTTGGAGCCTAGGACTTAACATTTCCCTCAAGCTCCCAGGTGATGCCAGTGTTTCTGGCCCATGGGCCACACTGTGGGTAAGAAGGTTTAATTTAGAGCCTTGAGATATAATGAAGGGTGGTCCTAGGTGGGAGGCATCAGCATGATGTGAGAGTTTGTTAGAAATTCAAACTCCCTGGCATCCTTTCAAACCCCTTGAATTAGAATATCTGGAAATAGGACCTGAAAATCTGTGTTTTAACAAGACTTCAAGATAATTTTTGTTCACACTACAGTTTGAGAAGCATTAATGTAAATTGCATATTGAATTTGTATCAGAAAAAAGAAATGATGTCTTCTCACTCCCTTCCTCTATACCAGATTGTTTCTCCCAGTGCTGGAATTGGCTGCCATCACGGTTTGTGAAATGTCAAGATTTTATTCATAGTCCTCTTTCTTTATACTTTATATGATATATTTGAGAAATTTTATCTATTCACAAGCTTTAACTAGCACCTACCTGCAGAAGAATACCAAAATTACATCTCTTGTTCTAACTTCTCTTAGTTTAAGTCCTAAATGTCTGATTCTCAAATACATATTTATCTGCACAAGTATGTCCCACTGACACATCAGACTCCTTATGTCTGAAAAAGCACTCATCAGTTTTACGTGATAAGTCTTCTCAATTATCTTTCTGTGTTTGATATTCCCATCCACTGCAATTATTTAAGACAAGGTCTTCAGAATATTGATTGAATAGTTCTTATGAATCACTTCTTACACCTAACTATTTACAAAGTTTTGTCTTTCCTATTTTTCTTTCTAGTATATTCCTACTTACTTACCTCATTTAATGGGGTGAGAGAGAAGACATTAAAGAGATGAGAGATAAGAGATTTTTATAACAATTCATGCTAAAAGTTGATATGGTTTTAATGTAATATCATAAAATTGGGCACACAAAAGAAAATCTGAGACAAAAAATCATGATAGAATGTAAAACTTACAAACTGAAACACAAATGATGGCCTAGGGTGTTAAGGTATTCTGAAATGATTCTATATTGGGAACTATGCTCTAATAAAGCTGACATTTAATCACATTGCTAATATAAACTTGGAATGTAAGATTCTTTAATTCATCCATTTATGATTCATTCATACATACACCAATTAATATAAGCATTTATTGAACATATATTTAAAGCATTGTGCTAGGCTCTCTAAATATAGATTATCTATCTCTCTATCTCTCTATCTATCTATCTATCTATCTATCTATCTATCTATCTATCTTGCCAGGGAGATAACACTGTTTATTAGCCAACTCAACAGATGTTTTTCAGTTGTTTTCTCCATTTTCATATCTACTCCAGAAGCTGGGAAGGCAAATGCCCACCTTCACAGCTTCCCTCACAGTTGGGTATAGTTCTGGCTACTGAGATTTAAACAAATATTTTCTGGAGATACCTAAAACAACATCTGCTTTCTTAATAAAAAGACACAGGTTCAACTGGCATGAACCTTTATCATCTTTTTCTACTCTCTTTCTGATCTTGAAAACAAATATGATATCTGTAGATACTATAGCCACTTTAGAACTAGGAAATAAATAGCTTTAGGATAAAGGCCAACATTTTGAGAGGATAAAATAGTAGAATATTTAGTGTCTGAATCCCTCTAGAAAGTGTTGATCTTCCTCCCATTTCATATTATCCAGGCAATAGCTTTTAACCTTTGCTTAATCTTCTAATTTTTAAATTTTTTAAAAGCATTATTCAGTAATTTAAAATTTACATAGAAATTGAAAAAATATAGGGAGCTCTTGTATAACTTTCACCCAGATTTCCTTGTTAACATTTCTCTTGTTTTGAAAAAGTTAAGAGTAAGTTTCAGTTATGATACCCCATTACTCCTTGTATTAGTTTTCTGTGGCTGCATTAACAAATTACAACAAACTTGGTGTATTTAAACAACAGAAATTTATTCTTTCATGGTTCTGGAGACCAGAAATCCAAAATTAGCCTCACTGGATTGAAATCAGGGTATTGGCAGGATGGGGGTCTCCTCCAGAGAGAGATCTGTTCCTTGCTTCTTTCAACTAATGTTGGTTATCAATGTTTCTTGGCTTGCCTCCATATTAACCCAATTTCTGCCTCCATCTTAACACTTTCTTTTCCTCTTCTGTCTGGATTAAGTATCGCCTTGCCTCTCTCTGATAAGAGCACTTGTGGTAGTATTTTAGGGCCCACCTGAACAATCCAAGATAATCTCCCAGTCTCAAAATCATTAACTTACTCACATCTGCAAAGAACCTTATTCGTCATATGACAACACTTAAACAGGTGTAGGTTTCAGAACCTGATACCTTTAGGGGCTATTATTCTTCCTACCATACCTCTTAATTCTACAATATATATTTCCTATGCACAAGAACATTTTGCCACATAGACACAATATATCCATCAAAATCAGGAAATAAGTATTGATGCAATATTATTTTCTGGTCCACAGACCCCACTTACATTTTCCTAATTATCCCAGATATACCCTTTTTAGGCCCACTAGCCAATCCATAATCAGTGGTTTTATTCATTGTCAAATCTCTTTAATACTTTTCAATCTGGAATAGTTCCTTATTTTTTCTTTGTCTTTAATGGTCCTAACATTTTTAAAAATTAGCCTAGTTACTGTGTAGAATGTGACTCCATTTGTAATGTTTGTTATATTTAAGAATTTGTATGTTTCTGGCAAGAATACCACAGAAGTGATGCTGAGCTCTTTGCAGTGTGTATATCAGAAGGTATACATGCTGATTTTGTTTCATTATTGATGATGGTAACATTTATTATTTAATTAATGGTGCCTGTGAGATTTCTACACTAGAAAGTTAATAAGTATGTTATCAATAAATAATCATTATGCATTGATGGAAAGTTACTTTGAGACTATGTGAATACTCCATTTTTCATCAGTCTTTTACACAACAGATTTGGCATTCATTGATGAATTCTGCCTGAATGAGTTTTCACTGATGATTATCAAGTGGTAATCTCCTAATTCCATAATTCTTTGTAGATTGATTAGTTGGCATGGAAGAATTCCCTTCCAATTCCAGCACCACTCCCAATTTATATATGTATCCATTTATATTAGTAAAATCTCATAAATTCTTATTTTACTCAAAGTATTATAACTGGTCATTATTATTGTTAAGAGTTAAAGAGGAAAGAAACACAAAAAGTGGCTCAACAGTCAAAGACAGGTTTATTTTGGAGAATAAACCTGAGAGGGGCTTCTGGGCGATTTCAGTCAGGAGTGCTCTCTCTTACAGGCTAAGAGTATGTATTGGTTTTAGGGTGAGGGAGCTTATTACAGACTTGAAATGTTTCTGTGTGGGGGAGAAGTTTTATGGCAGGGTTGGAATGTCTCTGGTTGGAAGGGAGGTTATCTCGGGGCTGGCATGTCTCTGGTCGGGGAGAGGTTTATATTACGGTTCGAACGTTTCTGGTCGGAGATGTCATTTATGGTTTATGGTCATGCTAACCTTAGCCATTAGGCTGATGCCCTTTGGATTTAGGCAATTTTTAATCAAGGGGAACTTTAAGATGGCAGTGCTTGTCCAAGATGGCAATGCTCCTGCCATGTCAATTATCACTTATTTCAATTTGTCCCAGACTTGACTAGTGGAAGCTCCTTCAACTGGTTCTTATGTCTTTTGCACATGCCCCTAGAGTACCTCTGGCACAACAGGATGTTACCAGATCATCTTGTATTTTCCCTGCCTCAGCCCTGGAGTCAGGTACTCTTCCCCAGGAAGCTCTGGCTCCTTAGTATCTAGAAACAAATAATAGGATACTATATGTGCTCCTCGTGACTGTGGTGTAATTACATGTATGTCCTCTAAAGAGAGTCAGATAAAAAAAAATCTATTTATGCACTATTTGCAGTGAAAAAGATATGGAATCAACCTAAATGCCCATTAACAATAAACTGGATTTTAAAAAAAGTTGTACATATGCACCATGGAATACTATGCAACCATAAAATATAAAATGATCGTGTCCTTCACAGCAACATGGATGGACCTGGATGCCATTATCCTAAGTGGACTAACACAGGAATAGAAAACTAAATGCCACATGTTCTCACTTATAAGTGGGGGCTAAATATTAAGTACATATGGATGCAAAGAAGGGGACAACAGTCACTGGGGCCCACTTGAGAGTGGAGAGTGGGAGGAGGGTGAAGATCAAAAAACTGTTAGCTTCTATGCTCATCACCTGAGCGATGAAATAATCTGTACACCAAACTCCCACAGCACACAATTTACCTATATGTCAAACCCGCACATGTGCCGGTGAACCTAAAATAAAAGTTAAAAACAATTAAATTTAAAAAAGCAAATCTATGTATACAAATAATATGCACATATGTGTATATCTGTATGTTTTTATATTTAATTTTAACTGGAGCTCTATCATATTTGATCATTGTGCACACTGGTGCTTCTACTTGCATTCCAAAACTATCTCCTTTTCATATTCGTAAGTCCCATTTTCAACAATGAGAAATATGTTTTCCACTACTCTAAATGAATTTCCTAATTTGTTCAGTCCTGCCAGTGTTAACAAACTCCTCACCATGACAGCAGAAAGCAGTGTCCTTGACTCACATCCATATTGGGTGTATTGGCTAAAAGCTCACACAAAGGAAGGGGAGAAGTAGGGAAAGGAAGAAGGTAAAAGAGGGCAGGAAGAAGGGTGAAGAAAAGGACATTTAGAAAGCACAACCCCAAAATTTCATTTCCCTATATTAATATGCTGGCTCGTAGCTGGGCCCCTACATACCACTGCCCACTGCCCACTTCCCACATATGGTGTACACATATGGTGTACTGTCCACATATGGTGTACTGTCCACATATGGTGTACAACACCTGAAAGCTGAACTTTCAAAAAGGGAAAGAGAAAAAGGAAGAAAAATTGATCAGTTAGAACTGTTGATTCCAGATATGTGACACTCATCATACCAATGTGTTGGCCCAAAGTGGGTCCTGACATGCTGTTCTCTGTCCCCACTGGGCATGCCTACCCAAAGCTTGACTAATGTAGTAGTTTGATTACTTTCAGTTTAATGTTGCTGCTAGCTGTCCAAGATAAATCAGTGTTTCTTCTTCCTATGTACAGAGTAAGGCTCCATTTCAGCTTCCTTTTTAGCTACTTGAGGCCAAATGATGATGTTTTAACCACTGAAATGCAAGTAGAAGTGATATGTGCCATTTCCAGACAAAGACGTTTAAGAAGAAGCTATATCTCCTTCACTACCTCTTCACTCTTGCCTGATGGATGCAGATTTCAGTGAAAATCTAGGGGAAGCAGGGGCCATAGGATGGAAGAAGCAGAGCTTCGTAAGTTATTCTATGTGAAGCAGAGCCACCCACGCTGAACTATTAGGTAGGTGAGAAAAAAGCATCCATTTATCTTGGAGCCAGTATACCTCCTATGATCTATTTGTTACAGAAGCTTATTCAAGTTACACAAACACACACAACATCTTAAACTAATATTATCTTTATAATATTATACCTGTTGAATAGTTATGCATAGTATATTATATGTACACTGAATAAGGTCACTTAATACATTTTAGACATAGAAGAAAATCAAGAAACATTTCCCACAGGAGGTAATACCTACTTGAGTATTGGAAAAAATAAGTATTAATTAAAGTAGCAGGGAATAAGATTGTGCTCCCATTAGAGAGAATGTCACGTATAAAAGTACGGCAAATGAGGCAGTGGATATCGTGTTTAAGGGAAGTCAAGTTTCTTGATATGACTATAACTCAAAATGTATGAAGACAGTCATGGAAAGATAAAGCTATATATGTTGTGCTGAATTTCTGTGCACGAAATTTAGCATTTCAATGGAAAATGCAAAGTATATACATATTCTTTCTTTTTGACATCAGTTTATTTCTTCCCTGTTAATGATGATCTCATGTCTAAAGCAAAAGATGTAAAATAATCACACAGAATTCTTACTGCTATAAACATCTGAGCCTTGATAGAGCTATTAACATTAAGCCATGTTAATAAACATTAACACCTTTATATCACATATTTGATAAAGTTAAAATTAATTTCAGCTCATTTGCTATACTCTATTTTGTTAGTACCCAGGAGCATTTTCTTAATAGGAGTTCCAAGAGATCATTGATTGGTTTCAGTAAAGAAATCACCGACATAAAGATGTTCTTTTGATAGGGAAATTAGATTTGATGTATTCCACAAGAAGCAGTTAGATCTTAATTTAGAGGGTAATTTGGTACCTAAAACTACCTGCAGAAGGTTTAGTTTGGGGTATAAAAATATGTCTCCAAGCATTGGGTAGTGTTTCTCATATGCTTGGATACTTGCATCTTATTTTTCCAGCAAGTAAATATATATATATGTATATATGTATATATAATCAGTGACAGAAAAAATATAAAAAATTTTTAAAGCATAGTTGTTTTAGGTCATCTCCTAGAATGCACAACTGATGGGAACAAAAGTTAAATGACTGAAATGCATTCTTATATTATACACTTAGTTTTCTCCTCACCTGTTGTTCATTACTTCCATTCTGTATTCATTGCTATTGTTCCTGTTCAGGCCCTTATTTCCTCCTATCTATGCTAAATAATTGTCATACTTTCAGGATTGTCCTTTGCTTTCTACAATACACCTTCCACATTGATGCTGAAGTTTTCTTTTAAAAAATCTAATCTTATTGTTACTACATCTAAAAGCCCGATCCTGGCTATCCACAGCCAAGAGAAATAATTAAAGATTTCTTGTCATATCATCTAAACCCTTTGATTATCTGACTCTTACCTACTTATTTTTTAGTTTAGTTTTTTTATTTTTTAAGTATACAATTCAGTGGCTTTTTAGGGTATTTTCAAAGTTTGAAATTACTTATACTGTCTATTATGAGAACATTGTTATCACCCTAAAAACAATCTTGAACCCTTTGTGTTATTATTTTTTTTTTTTTAGAGACAGGGACTTACTCTGTCTCCCAGGCTGCAGTACAGTGGTACATTTATGGTTCACTGCAGCCCCAAACTCCTGGCCTCAAGCGATCCTCCTGAGTAGCTGGGACTGCAGGTGCAAGTCACCACACCCAGCTAAGTTTTTTATTTTTATTTTTGGTAGAGATGAAGTCTCTCTTTGTTGCCCAGGCTGGTCTCAAGCTTCCAGCTTCCAGTAATCCTCCTAAGTCGGCCTCCCAAACAGTTGGGATTACAAGCATGAACCACCATGCTCAGCCCTTGAACCCTTTAGCAGTTACTACCCCTAGTTCCTGGAAACCACTATTCTACTTTCTGTCTCTCTAGACTTGCCTATTCTGTACATTTCACATAAATGAAATTATACAATATATTCCTGCCTGTTTAAGCCTTCTCTCTTTTGTAACTCCATCTTTCATATTCTTCCAGCTGACCAGATCTAATTGTAACATACTGTATTAATTTTAATTAAGATACAGATTGACTACTGTATTGGACATTCAAAATTAACAATGATTTTAGTATGACATGTATTTATTTCTGTATAAGCCTGAATTGGGCTTTTTCACATAAAATTCTTCATTAAATTTTTAGCAGTCCTAAATCTTTCTATTCTGTTGCTCCACCATCAATAGACATCACATCCAAATTCGAATTCAAAGGAAAGGGAAGGCCTAACCATGACTCACCTGTAAATTTGATGGTCACTCTACTTTTGCTCTTAGGTGTAGTCTTCACTTTTTCCTTTTCTGTTGTATAATCCAATGGATGACCTTGGTAGGTTAGGTATTTCCTTCCTCTTGGTCTGTCTTTGGTGCGTCTTCCATAGAAGCTGCCTTTTCTCTGTGCCTCTAGCCTCAGACAAATGGCCCATACCCTCATCACTCAATTCTCAATATGCATCCATCAGCAGGGAGCTTTAGCTTTTGGACTCATTATATTATCTGTTGCTATGACTTGAATATGCCCTCTGAAATTCATGTTGAAATTTAATCCCTAAAGAGTGTCGATAGGTAGGACCTTTAAAAGATTATCAGAACACTAGGACTTTGCCCTCATGAATGGATTAATGCCATTATTGCAGGAGTAGTGTCCTTATAAAGAATTAGCTGAGCCCCTTTGTTGCTTGCTCTCTCATGCATGCACTCTTGCATTTCAGCTGTAGGATTACATGGCAAGAACGACTTGCTAGATGTAGGCCTGGTAGCTTCAGACTTCCCAGGTGCCAAAAGTATAAGAAATAAATTTCTGTTCATTATAATTTATCTATCCGTGGTTTTCTGTTACAGCAACATAAAATGGACTGATATATCCCTCTATCCCTATAAGTGGTAGGGGCGTCATTTTGTTTTTAATCTTTAATAGATAAAATACTCTTCAGAAGATTTTATATATATATATGTATATGTATATATATATATACACACACACATATATACAAACACATATATCTTCTTTAGTGAGTTTTGATAAATTGTGGCTATTAAGGAATTCATTATGCTTGGCTTCTTGGATTGTCTGTCACTGTGTAAAAATGTCTTCTATAAAATATCATCTGATTGAAACACTTAGATTGGTCTCAAATTTTATTAGATGTACTATGCCTGATGGGGTGTATGACATTGAATTCCACACGTACATTTTGCATTTCTCTTGGCCTAGCTGTATGGCCACAGCTAGCTTTGAAAGGTGGTGGAAAATACAGTCTTTATTCCGGAGGGCCATACACACAGCTAAAGATTATACTTCATGTTTATTCCATGAGAGGAGAAAACACTTGATATTAAAGGAAAACCAGAATTATCTGCCATAGTATGCACCTTGGTCAGCCAAAATCATTTGTGTACGCTTCCTTCCACATAGAGAACGTATTCATCTCATACCCAGGGGACAGACTTCCAAGTCTCATTCATGAAAGTCCATTGAAGTCCATGAACTTGAGGTTATGAGTACTCACCTTTATTAGGTCTATCTATGGTTCTTCATGATCCAGGGGCCTATAACATACCCAAAATGCAGCAGTAGAGTAGGAACAGTATAACCACACTAAAATGTCCATCTGACATGTCAAATTTGTGGATATAGAGTTGCTCACAATTTTCCCTCGTTATTTTTGTGTCTGTGAAGGTATGTAATGATGTCCCTTATTCAATTCCCGACATTGGTATTTATGTCTTTTCTCATTTTTGGTTGCCAGTATGACTAGAGTTTTTTTTTTTTTTCCAAAAACACAGCTTTTTTTTAAACTGCTTTTCTGTTTTTAATTTCATTGATTTATGCTCTTAGTTTTTCTATTTGCTTGCTTTGAGTTTGTCTCTTCATTCTCTAGTTTGTTAAGCTAGAACTTGAGTATTGATTTAAGGTCTTTATTCTTTCATAAGCATTTAATGCTATAGCGTTCTCTCTAAATATTTATTTAGCTGTGTCTTACAAATTTTGATGCCTTATTTCCATTTTCATTCAGTTCAATATTTTTACCTTGAGACTTCTTCTTTGACCTCTGGGTTACTTAGAAATGTGTTGCTTAATTTCCAAGTACTTAAAGGTTTCCCAGATATGTTTCTATTATTTATTTCTATTTAAATTATGTTATGGTCTAATACACTTTGTATGATTTTTACTTTTGTAAATTTAAAGTCTGTTGAATTTCTTGTTCTATGTTCTGTCATGATGAAAGTTTCATGTATGCTTGAGGGAACAATGCATATTCTGCTGTTCTTCAGTAAACTATTGCATAAAATGTCACTTAGATCAAGTAGTAGCTAGTATTTTTGAGGTCTTCTGTAAGCTTCCCGACTTTTTGTCTCCTTGTTCTGTGAATTACTGAGGAGTGTTGATGCCTCCAAATCCACTACAATTGTGTGTTTGTATATGTCTCCTTTATGTACCAACAGGTTTTATGTATTTACATATGTTGTTGGCTACATACCAAATTAAGATTTTAAAAATACCTTCTTAGAGAAATGACCTGATTGTGTAGCTTTTTACTCCTGATGATATACCTGGTTCTAAATTCTACCTTGTCTATTATTAATATGGCTTCTCCAGCTTTCCTTTGTTTGGTTTGTGTGTCTGTCAAATCTCTTTCCATCCTTTTACTTTTATCATACATAAGGCTATATATTTAATGTAGTACAATGGACTGAATGTTTTTGTCAACCCAAATTAATATGTTGAAATCCTAATCTCAATGTAATGGTATTTGGAGGTAGGGTTTTTAGAAGGAAATTAGGTCATGAGCATGGAGTTCATGACCTAATTCATGAATGGAATTAGTGCCCTTAGAAGAAAAGGCCAGAGACTGAGCTAGCCCTCTTTCCTCCATGTGAGGATAGAATGGGAAGTCTGCAACCTTGCAACAGGCCTCTCACCAGAAATCAACACACTGGCAACCTGATCTCATACTTCCAGCCTCCAGAACTGTGAAAAATAAATTTCTAAAGTTTATAAGCCACCCTGTCTAAGGTGTTTGTAAAAGCAGCCTGAACTGAATAAAACAAGTACGTTTCTTGTAGATACAATGTAACTATATGCCTTAGATTTTTATTCAGTCTAACAATTTTGTAATTGGTGTGTTTATAACATCTATAGAAAATGCTATTATTGATGTAGTTGGATTATAATATACAGATCTGCTAGGTATATTGTATTTGTTCAATGTTGTTTTATTGTTCTTTTTCTGACCACTTGAGTTAACTTGGCAACTTTTTAATGCAATTTTCACAGTTTTTCTTTCAGCACTTTAAAGACGTCATTCTATTATCTTTCAATTTGCACAGTTTCTGAGGAGAAGTCTTATATAATTCGATATAATTCTTTTTTAATATACAAAAGTAGGCCAAGTCTATTGCTGAGAGTGGATATAATTCCTATTCTTATTTCACTGTATA
Organism: Homo sapiens; assembly: GCF_000001405.40. NCBI lineage: Eukaryota > Metazoa > Chordata > Mammalia > Primates > Hominidae > Homo > Homo sapiens. Next base: position 49,654,463 of record NC_000011.10, read on the forward strand.
TAATTTGACCTCATTCTTTGGCTATCTTGAAGAACTTCTCTCTGTCTTTGGTTCTCAGTAGCTTGAATATGATGTGCCAAGATATGGCACTTTTGATATGTATTGTGCTTTTTGTTCTCAGCTTCTTGGATACATGCTTTGTTGTCAGTCAATAATTTTGGAAAATTACTGTGTTTCACTTCTCCCTGCAGGTGTCTGTCTATTTGTTTATTGGGGGACAGTTGGTTGTCCTGTGACCACAGCACTTAGATGAGCTCAATAAAATTTGTTAACTTGCTGTTTGCCTGGCTTTTTAAAAATGTGCATGTTCTAATTCTCAAAACTACTGAGCAAAATATAGAATTTAAAATACTTTTAAGTCTGGAGAGTCTAGTCTTTAAAAAAAAAACCCTCTGTGTCCTGCCTATTCTATTGTTACTCTCAGAAAAATAAAATGAAAGCTATCTTTCGAGTCATCTAAAATAATATGTTTGGATGGGAAGATAACATCCTTAATTCGATTTTTGGTATTGTGGTGGCTCCAATGTCTCACTAACAATTTTTAATTAAAAACACTTGGTGCCATATTCTCTTCTCCAGGTAAAGTACTTTTTCAGGGCTGCCTAATATTATTTTTCAACCTAAGTTACAAAATCAATTCACTTTTTGAATATATAAGGCCCCAAATAATGAAATTTTCAGTCAACCTAGATTACAAATTGCACATAAAGAGTGTGTCCCTGCACTGATCTGTAGAGTCTCCAATCTGTGTAAACTAAATCTCCACCCTAGTGTCCTTCATCTCTTGTGGGCCTTTACTAAAACATAAAATAAGAATAAGAATATTTCTAAACATTTCCTCTTGAGCATAGACTCTCACAGGAAGGAGTTTTCTTTCCAAGTATTAGGACAAGTTTTACCAAATATTGGCCATAATGTACTGAGAGTTTTCAGCTTTCCAAGATGTGATATCTGTATCTTCACAGCCTCTCTTACTGTCTCAAAGAGAATGCCACATATTTTATATTTGTTTAGTGAAACAGTCCATTGTATAGAATAAAGGGTCACATACCATAAAACATCCAAATTAAGAAATTACAAGTGGTTTAAACAAGGTAAAAAAAGTAAAAGCCAAAGCAAGAAGAGGTTGACCGGCACAATGTCATGGGGTCTAGAATTTTTCCATCCTATAATTCTGCCACCTCTACCAGGTTGCTTTATCTGCATGGTCCAACATGGCTAAATAGCATAACTGTATTCCAGCCAGAAGGAAGATAAAAGGGATAGCAAGTTTATTACTTCTTCTCCTTTTGAAACATAACACGGATGTTGCAAACACTACTTCTGCTCACATTCAGTGATCGAAACTAACATAAATGGCAATACCTAACTAACTGTATGGTTAGTTAGTGAGGCTGAAAAAGTAAATTTGATTCTGGGCAACTATTTTGCCTAGATGTTAATTAGTAATTTTATTACTATTAGAAAGGCATAATAAATATTGGGGAATGACCAACAGTATGCCACATATATCCTGTTATTTAATGTAAATTTGCATCTGCTTTACCATTTCCCATTGTCTGAAATGTTTCCTTTGTTTTCCAACGTGTAAACCTCTCTGTTTCTTTTAAGCCTGCATTTGTATATCACCTCCTTTGGTAAGTTTTTGTTTGTTGGTTGGTTTTTTGTTTGTTTTGAGACAGAGCCTTGTTCTGTCACCAGGCTGGAGTGTGCAGTGGCATGATCTCAGCTCACTGCAACCTCCACCTCCTGGGTTCAAACCATTCTCCTGCCTCAGCCTCCTGAGTAGCTGGGACTACAGGCGTGTGCCGCCATGCCTGGCTAATTTGTGTATTTTTAGTAGAGACGAGGTTTCACCATGTTGGCCAGGATGGTGTCTATCTCTTGACCTCATGATCTGCCAGCCTTGGCCTCCCAAAGTGCTGGGATTTCAGGCGTGAGCTACCGTGCCAGGATGGTAAGTGTTTATTGAACTGCTTCTCTCCATACAACAAAGATATTTTCTCCTTTGCCTCACATTATTTTTTTCTAGATTATTTGAATCAGACTGTAAGATACTGTCGGTTAGAGTATGTCTTACTCATTTTAGTGTTCCTTGTATCTAATAAGGGTTTGCTACAAAGAAGATACTTAATAATGGTAATAAATGGATATATTTTTAATAAATAGTTGAATAGGTGATAGAATTAATGGATAGATGTCAGGAATTATTAAATTAATAAATGAATGAATCAGTGACTAAATGAATAAATCAACAGATTGGTAATGGTTTCAATATACAGATATGTTAGGGAATAAATGGATGAGTTAGAAAATAATTGGATGAGTAGATATATGAAGGAATTATTTAGTGTATGAGTGAATGGCTAGTTGAACGCATGAAGAGAGTGGTGGAATGGATGACAAGGTAAGTGAACGGAAGAATTGAAGAATGGATACGTGAATATAAGAACAAATGAGTGTGTGGATGGAAGAGTGGATATTTGGAGGAAAGGTGGGTGGATGGCTAAATTATTAAACTGATGGATAAACTGATGCATAAGTGTATTGGTGAGTGCATGGTGAATGGATCCTACATACATATGTAACTGAAATGGCACTTCTGCCATTTTGCACTGATTTGAGAGTTAGAACAGCCTGGACTTTTATCATATCTCTGCCACTGACTTTCTGATTTTTATGCATTACTTATGCATCTCAGTTTATCTATGCATCTCAGTTTCTTCGATTCTAAAATCATATTATAATAAATGCCTTGCAAATTTTTGTGGGGATAAAATAAGACATTATATAACGTGACTGGCACAAAGTATGTGCTCCATAAACAGTAACTGCTATTACAGTCATCATTACCATCATCGAATTCTCAGCCAGCTCTAATTTCCTACACAGCATTTCACTGATCAGCGGGTGTACATGGAAATATATATGTAATCTTGGTTCTGCCTTCTAGGATCTCCTAGTAACTCTGGGTAGACAAGCCACATGCATAAAAGGATTATCACCATTAAAATGAAGGAAATGCTCAATGCCAGGTGACAAATTTATGATAAAATTGAAAAAGAAAAGGATCATGAATAGTCAAGTAAGTCTTGGAATGTTATGTTGAAGTTTGGGAAGTAAAGAAAGGAAGAATTTAATTAGCAGAGAGAAGGTGATAATATCTTGCCCATACTTCTCATTAAATTGCAAATTATCTGAAGGATCTCAAAGGAAAAATGAATAAGTAGCAAGAGTTCCATTTATCTGTGAGACAAATGAGGTCTCAAAACATTTGAATGAATGACCCAAGGACAGACAGTGACTTTGACCCTGGCACAGTTGCAAATGGCAGCCTCAATTCTTGGCTGCTGTGTCTCTTTGGGTTTGCCAGTGTTTTTAAAACAAGCAAAAAAAAAAATGCTGTAACATTTTTACTGAGGACAACTTGGCTGAGTTATTTTGACAAAACACAAATCACTGGGAACAGCTGAGCTGCTTGTACATTGCACCCATTTGTTTACCCACCTGTCTAGATGCTAAGAACAATATTCTAAAACAGTGATTTCATATATGGTGCCTACTTCTGGTGTTCTCCTTTTACCCCACCTGGCTCCAGTTAAACCTCCTTGATTTATTTAGGCTGTTCTTGAAGAATTTCTCACCTAGAGATTCACAGGACCCCCAGCAACTATAAATTAAAGAGCCAGTGATATAATCTAGCAGTTATTTTAGACCCCAAAGTCGAACACCATTGGATTGAAATCCAGACTCTACCAGTTATTAGCTATGTGTTCTTCAGTATACATGCTTCTTTCTGAACTTGTTTTCTTATCAATATCATGGGAATGCTAATATCTGTTAAAAACTGCTTCATCTAGAATATTTTTATATATAATGTAATCAGAAATAATGGTTGACTTCACCTGAATTCATTTTTGGCTTACTGCTTATGCTAAGGAAAATATCTTACAGTCATTTGGTTTCAGATCTGTGATGTCATTTTAGTGGTCTCCCTTACTTCCATTTCTGTCAACTGCAACTAACTCTACTAGGTCACCAGCAGTGATGGGGAATCTAGGATAAATCAGCTCAAACATGTTCATCTCACACATTTTTCCAAGTTTCCTAAAATTTCTGGGTATTGTAAGCTTCCCAACTCATCTTCCTGCTTCCACACTTGCCCTACTACTATCTATTCTTAAGACTATCTAATGTGATTCTTTTAAATTAGATATTAGTTCTGTTGCACCAAGCATTAACCAGCACTCACTCAACTTTAGTTAGCAATGGATGTTCCTTCCTAGGAAATATTTGTCTTTGCCCAAAGGTGGTTTAGGAAGTCAATCTGAAGAATTTCACAAAGCCCTTTTAATATTTAGCAATATCCTTTATGTGCCTACTTCATAGTTTTTTTTTTTTTTGTGAGGATGACACAAGCTTATATAAAGTACTTAGAATAGAGCCTGACACACAGTAATTGTAATATGTGTTAATTATTGGATAATGTCTCTGTTCTTTTTACAGCCTTCCAGTCATTCCCAAATTCATTCATTCTAAATATAAATCGACCTACATAATCAGTTCCCTGCTACTTCTCTGACTGCATGCCTTTCACTTGCCCCATTCATCCATCTTACTCTGGCCCGATGGTCTCCTTGCTCTTTCTCAAACATTCTAAGCACAAGTCTGCCTCAGATCCTTTCCAAGTGCAGTTTCCTCCACTGAGAACATGCTTTACCTGGAGTCTGCATGGCTTGCTTCCTCCCTTCATCCAGATGTCTACTCAAATGTCATCTTATCAGCGATGACTTTGCTAAACACCATATGTTAAACTGAGTTTAAAATGTTCTATGGAAAACAAGAAAAGAAAATCTTTCCAAAGTCTAGCTGTATATATACTTTCTTCTGTCAAGAAGACTTTGTGTGCCTTCATGATTTATTCCATCTCATCTTATCTAAACATAGATAGGAGTGTGATTTTTAGCAATACACTGACCTCTTATCACATTTTCCTCTTCCTGGCTAGGCAGTGGTTCTAACCCGGAGCTCTGTGTCTCTGGCTGACTCAACTAAGGTCAATATCTGAACATTCTCTCAAATAAGAGGTGAAACTGTTACGTGGAGCAGGGAAGGAAGGGTATTAGTAGTCTCTTATTTGTTCTTAAAATAGAGTATCTCAAAACTGCTTTAAAAAGAGCTATAACTGTCAGATGATCAGTATATTTTTATCAATTTATACCTGTAGAACTATGTTTACTTTAGAATTTGATAGTTTAAAATCTAAAATGCAGATAAAAATAAAGTTATTTAGAAACATTACATATATTAATGTATATAAAATTAATTATAATATGTTTATATTTTATGTTCAGCATCTGAACATTAAAAGTGACAAAATCTGGATTATTAGTTAAAATTTGCATAATATTAATTTCTTAGACATATCTGTCTCTGATGGAGTCACTGGTATTTTTATGAATATATTTATTTCAACATGACATCACAGTTTTTATTTTTTCTATAAATTTGCTACAAACATCTTAAAATTTGTATTTTCAGTTACTAAAATTTAAATTGTTTACACTTCCAATTGACATTTTCCTGCAGAGCAGAAATTACTAATATGTGATCCAAAGACACTTGGACTTTCAAAATGCTTTCACAGGTCTTGTGAGGTCAAAACTATTTTTATATAGTATTAGAATGCCATATATCCCTATTTCTCATTCTCTTATGAATATATGATAGAATTTTCTGTAGCCTTTCTGACACATGGTATCACAGCATTTTAAATGCGATAGATACAAAAATCCAACTATCTTCTATGAAGTCTGACACTTTCCAAACTTTTTAAAAACAAAGTAAGAAAAAATGCCACCCTTCAAACGAAAAATGCCACCCTTCACACTAAAAATATTTCTATATTTTCTATGGAAATATAAAATTTTCAATAGAAATATTTGTGTTAACATGTAATAGGTTATTTAAGATCAATGAATATTTAAATTTGTGTTTTAGTTTTTAATATAGTAAATACCAGTGGATATTACCCACATAAACAAAAGTCATTGGGAGCATTCAATACTTCTTAGCAGTGCAAAGGTGTTATGAAACTTAGAAAGTTTGAGAATTGCTATTGTAAACTATAATGGTTTATCTTAAAATACCTTCACTACAAATACTGATTTATCTAATAGGTATCAGAACAAATTATGCTAAATGAAAGATGTCTTTAGTTATATTTTATATTGAAATGTGTGAATATTTAAGCCTAAGCCTTAGAGGAACAATCATTTTTATTCTCTTTAGAATATTTTCTTTGGCAGATATTTTATAAGACAAAATTTATTGAACAAGTTGTTTTTGTAATTCTTTTAATTTTTTTATGTTTCAAAAAATTGATTTTGTGTAATATTTATATTATATTTTCAGGGTATTTAAAAGCAGAAAATGATAATTATGATTTATTTATCTGAGAGGTGAACAGGGTACTATATTATGTGCAGTAAAAAGAAAAATTCATTTACATTATATATATATAATATTTTTGAAAGTGATAAACATTTATTCTGTGGTTTTCACAGCATCAGGAAGGGAGGGGGAAAACTGTAGAGGACCTGTGTGGGTGCTGTAGGGACTCCTGAAGGCTTCTTTCTGGTGGCTGGAGGGCATAGGTTGGGGAAGTAGTTGAGTTAAAGTGTTGTCCTGGAAGTTAATTATTTTGATAATTTTAGATGTTGAAAAATTCTATACCTTGTCAACTTCAATCTTTGGTAGTATAAAAAATATAAATTTCTAAAATTAAAAATAGTTTTTAAAAAGATTCTACAATTTGAGATAGGATAAAACACAATTATAGAATTTAAAAATTAGAACACTATGCACAGTTTGAGATTTCTAATCTTCCCTTTCTGCTTTTGTGGGATAAATTTGGATATTTTTTTGTAAACTCTATTTAAATTTTAAAATGCATGAAATATTAATGAAGATTATTTAAAGTAAAAATAAAAAATATTGTCTCCATGGGGGAAGATCATTTTAAAGCATGAACTAATCCTGCAATATTCTTCAATCTAATAGAGAGAAATTATCTTCATTCTTTCTGATATGATCCCGTTAGTTTTCCAGCAATAAATGAAATATATTTATATGTCCATTTTCGTTACAGCAAGTTGGTGAAAAAACAGGAACATACTTTCTTCTGTGATTTTATAGTGATGTCTCAATCTCCATTACCAATCATTACACCATTTTAAGACATCCTCATTTTTTTTCTTATCTTCATCCCTGTTGTTTACAACTAAGTTCAAGATCTTGTCATCTATGTCCTGGAACTGTTGAGATAAACTTATAGCTTGTTTTCTCATTTAATGCTTCAGCACTCTAAAGTGTATTTCATCCCACACTGCTTTTGGTAAAATGGAAATACATCCACAGCCCTCCTCCTCTGAATGTTTATGAGATCTCTTTGTCATGTTCTTTAGTCTCTTCTCCATCCGCCTTCTGCTTTAGCCATACTGTGCTGCTTACAATTCTCTTGAATATATTCTTCTGAGGATTTGTTTTTAATCGGAAACATCCATTCCTTTCTTAGTGATGTCACCTGGAAAATTCCTACTCATCTTTCAAGTCTTACTTTCAACAATCCTCCTCTGAGAAGGCTTCTCCAACTTACTTTGACAGAATGAGGTCCCATCCTTTCACATTTGCATAGTATATTCTATTTTCCTTCTTCATAGCACTTTTCACCTTGAACTGCAATTATTCTTACTGATAATTACTGAGCATTTATTAAATTCCAAACAATGGACTAAAATACTTTATGTATTTGCATACATTAGCTTCCTAAGTTCTCACAATAACCCAATAAGGTATGTAATTTTAGTGTCTCCATTTTACAGATGAAGAAATAGGCTCAGATTAGTTGATCAAGCTGAGAACAAAATAGAAGTTATTGTACCGACGCTTTTCTTTTTTTCTTTTTCTTTTTTTTTTTTTCTTTTGACGGAGTCTCGTTCTTTCGCCCAGGCCGGACTGCAGTGGCGCTAGCTCGGCTCACTGCAAGCTCCGCCTCCCGGGTTCACGCCTTTCTCCTGCCTCAGCTTCTCGAGGAGCTGGGACTACAGGAGCCCGCCACCTCCCCCGGCTAATTTTTTTGTATTTTTAGTAGAGACGGGGTTTCACCGTGTTAGCCAGGATGGTCTCCATCTCCTGACCTCGTGATCCGCCCGCCTCGGCCGCCCAAAGTGCTGGGTTAACAGACGTGAGCCACCGTGCCCGCTCAGTTTTTCTTTTTAATATACTACATACTGTGCCTTTCCTAGGAGACTATGAATTCTTGAGAATAGGAACAATGTAATATTTATATTCAATCTCTAGCCTAGCAGAATGCCTAGCGTATGATGTATGCTTAATAAATATTTCTTGAATAAGTGAATAAAATACTTGCAACAAAATAATTCACTTAATTAGAATCAGTGTACCATGATAAATATCGTATATCACTAAGATTTTAATGTTATTCTCTGGATGCTCTACTTAGGAATTTTGTTAAGGGATTTGCATTCTGAACACTTTAGCTTTTACGTGCAAAGAGTGTGAAGGCAAAGTGTTAGGTAATTATTTATTCTGACAAAATTTTCAAGCTGAGGGGATTCTGTGCCAATCTGCTACTCTAAGCTTTGCACTTTCAGATTCTCACTTGTGAGTAGTATCAGGAATGCCTGAATAGAGGTTTGAGTTTCTGATGCTGTTTTGTGAAATTGATCTGACGTTAGCAAGACAAAATACAAATGCTGTTTCACAACTGGATTTTTAAAAAAATAATTTGTAACCAGCATTATTTAAGAACCTATCTTATAGGAACTTTAAAGAGATTCAAATGGTCTTCAACTCATGGTACATTCAGACTACTAACTAATAACAAGACTTTCAGATAAATATCTATTGTGCAAAGTATGAGATCAAGGTCAGAATTGCTAAGAAAGTACTGAACAAGGAGTGATGAATTCTGATGAGAGAAAAGACTTTCTGTAGTGGGAGGCATTTGATCTAGATGCTGAAAAATGTTAAGGTTTAGTAGGTGGAGAAGTGGGAAGAGCACTCTGAATGAAAAGAACTCCACACACAATGGAAAAGAAGCAAGAAAGTTCAGGATACATTTGGGACAAGGACAGGAACAAGGTATGATCAGAGTGTAGATGAAATATGAAGAAATTAGATAGAAAAAAAAGCATTTTAAGCTAACGAAGAAGTTGAGAGTGGAGAAATAAATATGGCAAATTATTTTCTGTATGCTGTGGAAATGCAGATTTTTTGTTAATTTTATAATTACATGAGTTTTATTACATGTGCCTTCATCAAGAGTTAACATGCATGGTTTACAAAATTTACCAATTTTCAAGAGGTTATAGTAAGGCATACATAATCATCATTAACTGTTACCATTGAACCTGAGTAATCACCATAAGATCTTTTAGTGTCATTGTTTATACACATCAGTGATTAATGTATGACTCTAAAACATAAGCTGAACTGTTTGAAATATTTTATGTAGCAGATTGAAAAGAATTGTCCCCGCTCTTTTTACTCTTGAAGAATGATAATAGTAAACTCCTTCTGGTTCTGTAACTGAACAAGTTACTCATCTTATCTTTGCTTTTGATTGTGTGTGTATACAAACAATACAAAATTACTTGCTTGTTGGCTTTGTATTACCACTATTAATGCCAATGGGGGAAAAAAAACACGTGAAAGTGTTGGACAGGCCATAAATCATTATAGAAATTGTCCATATCATTTTTCAGGAACTTAGTAAATGGGAATGTATCCCCATGTATTTTATTATTTTGGAAAGATAAATAGATCTAAAAGTCCTTTACATTCAGTCTTTTAAATTTTAATCCTTAGCCCTTGCCATTGAAGCCTTTCTACATTCACCCATCCGAGCACCTGTTCCAGTGTACCATACATACCACCAGGCTTTAAGGTTAGAACAATTACAGCAAGCAGACTAAGCTTCCCAACAATGGTAACAAAATCAGCCAGGTGATTACAGGACAGAACACAGGGGGAATGACTAGAGCTGTGCTGTCCACTACAGTGGCTACTAGCCACATGTGGTTTCTTAAATTAAAATTAAAATTAAATAAATTAAAAATTCAGTTTCTCTGTTGCACTAGCCACATTTCAAGTACTCAATAGCCACTGGTATCAGACAGCTTAGATTTATAGACCATTTATATCACTGCAGAAAGTTCTATTGAGCAGTGCTGGGCTCTCACGTTAGACCTGATTATATTACTAAACTGTCAAATAAATGTTTATCCTTTATTTACTCTCTCTGGTCTTGTTTTTCTTTATACAACATGTGATAAGAATAATAACACTCACTTTACTTACCTTAGGGAGCACACAAATGTTAAGCAAAAACACTTTTTAGCATTCTCTCTAGAAGAACACTACAAAATGTCAGGTATCTCTGTATTATTTTTGGAGGGCTCATGAGGTCAATGACAAGCTTTTGAATTCTTAACTAATTTTCTTTAAGATATGCAGCATTTCCATCTTAGGTGGAACAGTCTTGATACTGTTGATGTAGAAGGCACCACATGACTGGTATTGTGCTTTCCCAACTCTTCCACTGGGAAGAAACAGCATTTTAGCTAACCTATGGACTTAACATTGAATGAAACTGCTAAGAAATGACCAGAATATGAACCTAATTTTAGTGAAAGGAGAACAGCAGGTTGATAACCACTCTTTGAACAGTAATTTTATCTACACCATTTATGAACCAAAAGACTGACATGAAATATAACGTGTTAACATAAAACATAATATGTTCTTTCAGTGGTGTTTACAGAAGCTTATTCTCCATGCAATGGTCAGAAGACATGCACGTTTAGGTAACATACTTTTCTTAAAACCTTGTAAGACAAGATGCTACATTACAAAAATCCTATGAAAATGACTGCTTGAAATATCTTTAGCAGCATAAAGCACTCAATTGTATGATTCTTTCACAATTTTTCTTTCTCCATTAAATGACATTTTGATTTTTTTTCACCATAAATTACGTGATTCAGCAGCATGGATATTAGGATTAAGTATCCAACATAGGCAATGTTGATATCGTGGATACCAAGGAGATGTGCTTTTCTGATAGCGACTGGCCACAGCGCCCCATGGAGCACTGTGGTAGTGCCTATGGCAAGGACAGAGGAAACAAATGAAGGTGGAGGCTCATGTGGTTTTATAGTTTAGAAGAGGTCAGCATATGTGACTTTAACGGGCCATCAGAGTGTATATATTTGGCTTACATTTCTGCTTCATGTACCTTCTTTTGCTTCTTTGAAGATACAGTCTTAAGAAAGAAAAAAAAATGATAAAGTAGGCTGTTGCAATTTAAAGAAACAAATTAGTCATTCTCCAGGTCTTATTCTGAGAGCTTATTATCTGCCCAATTCTATGGTATGGGATTTTAAGCTACTGGCATAGATGTGTGTGTATGCATATAAGTGTGTGTAGATGTGTATGCACTACAATGAATGCATGAATTTTTAAAAAGTGGAATGTTGATATTTGTGTCTTGATCCTTTCTCTTTCCTCATAACCCTCAATCCATAAACAATAAACACGAGTCTTGCAAATTGCAAGGTACTGTAATAGGCTGCAATAAATTTGATCTAGAACATCAGGGTTTTTATTTCACTATCTTTGCAGAAGGATAAATGAAGGTAATTCAGAAACATGATTGCTTTCTTCACTCTCTATTCATTTTATTCATTGCATTAAAGATAGTTTAACATTATAGAAAGTTTAGAAAAGAGAGGGGAAAATCCTCCATTATCCAAACACTCAAATATAATAACTATTACATTTTTATTTTTCCTACTGTCTTCTCTATATTCCTTTTAGAAGATATTTTACAGATAAAAACAATTACGGGATAATGGATGGAAATAGACAACAGTTCCTGTTTTATTTTCTCTTTTTTTCTCATTTAAGAAATGGAAATGATTGCCCAAGGCTGAAAATAAATTGTTCTGATTTATTTTTAAAATGGATACCCATTGTTTGATTTCCTCTATACATACATATTGAGAGAAAAATAAAAATACTGACATTACCAAAAACCCTGTGACTTTCCACATTAGCATTCCTGGGGATTTTTAAAAAAAAAGCTCTCTTTCTGCGTTCACCTTTTTAACTTACTATGGAATTTACAAGAGGTAGTAGGCGGTACTGAGAAGTTAATGGTAGAAATTTTTCTTTACGTTTTGGGATATGAATTTTGCATCAGAACATTCAACCAATATTCATTGAATGCATACCAATACCATTTACTCTACAATTTACCAGCAATGAGACAGTGGAAGAGGGAGAAAAACCCCACTCTTGTGCAGCCTTCAGGCTAGTGTATGAGACATACCAATGAACAGGGATTACAATCTATCCAATGCTACTGAGGGACAGTTGGAAGTTCAGAGAGCTATATGGGCACATTAGAGAGTCCAGGAAGTCATAAAAACGTTTCAGTGAGGAAACCTGAAAGATGTATAGGAGATTTTCAGAAAAGTGGCAGAGACTGGGTATCCCAGGAAATGGGGACAGGGTGTGAGTTAGCTTAAAGAAAAAGCAGAGAACATGGTGCATTATAGCGATGTGTGAGTGTGTGTGTTTGTGTGTATGTGCACATGATGGAAGAGAGCGAGACTTTGCTGAGAGCTGTCACCTGAGAAGTTGATTGGGACATGAGTTATATGGAGAAGAGTGGCAGGAACAGAACTGCATTTCAGAAAGATAATTCTGCCTGAAGTGTCTTCTTTGTATCATAAATGAAACAGTGACCAGAACAGTCAATATGGAGCAGTCAAAAGCAAATAGACTGAATGAAACCCATGCTTGAGAAGTGAAGTAATGCATAGTTTCTTTAATAAGGTATAAATACACACTGCACACATACATACACATGCAAACAGACAACCAGGCCAGAATCAGTAACTAGTAACTATGATGACATTTATTAGGCACTTAATATGTGCCAACAATTGTACTTAAAATATCTTTAACCTCAGAACATCCTTGCACTATAGACGTTGTTGTTTACAATTTATAGAAAGAAAACTGAGACTCAGAGGGGATAAGCAAGTTGCTACTGTTTCTTCTCTGTTAAATAGACAGTATTTCTCTGACCAAAAACTCACACTGTGTCTACCATACTATGCTCTTTCTCTATTGAACTGTCAACCCAAGGGAATAATATGAGCCATTGTTGAGACTGATAAATTGGAAAAGCAAACACAGGACACATCAGCTCTTATCGTCCAACACAAAACAGAGAGTTAAGCAGGCTCAATGAAAGACAGGCCATATAACCTGCACACTTGCAAGGAGGCCCAGAGCTTCCCGGTATGCGAAAGTTCTTCCCCTTTAACTTCTCATATCTCCCAAAATCTAATTTGTCAATATTCCATTTAACCCTAGAATAATTTTCTTTTACTTCAACCTTAGTTCTTACCTCATAGTTCTTCAGTAAAACATTGTAAAAGCAGAGACTGTTCTGGAAATGGAATTGATTCTGAATATGTTAACCACTCTCTTTCAGGTTTGAATTCAGCACAGTTTTTCCTGCATAGCAGAAATGAAATACATAGACCTCTATTCATTGCTTTAAAAACTAATGCATATTCTCTCTGTCACACACACGCGCGCACACACACACACACTAATCTGCCATTTGAGAAAAAGAAATTGTCAAGTAAAAATTCTTAGACTGATTTTTCTCTGCTAAATAAATTCATTTTCTGATTTCTAGTCTAGTTTTTCCCAACACTGATGGTCTCATAAAACTGGAGTATGATTGCATTTGATTTATATATTTATACATTTACAATTTCTCTCACAAGTAGTATCTCCCTTGATCCTAATGACAAACCTGTGAATTAGAATCACACTGGAATTTGGGTCAGACATGTGAGGCAAAAATTCTGTTCAATGATAACAATAAAACTGGTTTTGCTACAAAATAGCTTTTTGGGTAGCTACTCTCACAGCAAATAATGACAGAAGTAGAGCATTTTCTTGCAATAAGGAGAGGATAATATTTTGGAATAGCAGGGAGGACTCCCTGACAGTTTTTGAAGTATTTTTTCTAATTTCTTAGTCTTGCACTTCTTTTTGCCATTCTAATAATGAATTGTCACATGTCAAAGGATCTCATTTTATAAAAACTTGTATTATTTTCAATAGTTTGCACATTATTTTCTAGTTCTTTTTTTTTATTCTTATCATTAACATTTTAGTGCAAAAATTTAAGAAGGTATTTCTGAGTGAAAACAAAAACTAAAATTTTCCCAGAGAATACCATTGGTATTGTCTTGCTCTTTTTGACTTATTTCCCTCTCTGTGCATATGACACACACACACACACACACACACACACACACACACACACACACTCTTATCTCACAAATATCTCTTAATAGGTTCTGTTTAGAAATATTTTCATTTACCTATTTTTTTTTCAATCAACAGTACAGCATAGAACATATTCCTGGTATTTTTCTAAACACAGATACAAAATGTAAATAATAAAGAGTAGTTGCCCTTAATGGTGTCTAATAGATAACAAGGAAATTCGGCTGGGCGTGGTGGCTCACGCCTGTAATCCCAGCACTTTGGGAGGCTGAGGCAGGCGGATCACGAGGTCAGGAGATCGAGACCATCCTGGCTAACACGGTGAAACCCCACCTCTACTAAAATACAAAAAATATATATATATATATTAGCCAGGCTTGGTGGCACGTGCCTGTAGTCCCAGCTACTCGGGAGGTTGAGGCAGGAGAATCACTTGAGCCCGGGAGCCAGAGGTTGCAGTGAGCTGAGACTGCGCCACTGCACTCCAGCCTGGGCAACAGAGCAAGACCCCATCTGAAAAAATAAAAGTATTACATATTGATTACATTGATGTATATATCATTTTTGGCTCCTAAAATACTGTTTCTAATGATTATATTCTTATTGTATAGTATGGGTATTGAATAAAGTTTTTGCTATTTAAAAATATTGCAATGAGTATCTTTGTAGATAACAGTTTTCATGCATTCATAATAATGTTAAAAATAATATATTTCAAATATTTCCTTACGTTTTGCCTTAACTTTCTTTAACAGTCTATGCTTTATTATTTTTACATTTGGTATATTTTAACAACTAAACTCTTACTTCATAAATTGCCCATGGAACACTGCCTCAGTCTCAATCATTAATCTGGTCAATTACTTGAAGTGTTTCTTCAACCAGGATAATATTTCATGGTTGTATGTTTTATGGTAAAATGTGCTCACTTAACAAATATTTATTTAGTATACCTACTGTATTTCAAAACGACACACAATGGGTATGTAATGGGAATCAAGTAGAACAACGTATTGCCTTCATAAGAATTACAGTAATGAAAGAGACATACTGAACAGGCAAGTGCAGTATAGGGTGAGGATTCTATTAATGGAAGATATCCAGAGCTGTGGGAGCACAAAAGTAGAAGAGCACAACAATAAAGGTGAAACAATTGGAAGAATGTGAGCTCATGGTGAAACAAAGTTGGCTCCCTCTGGACAACACCTGGACTAAAATCAGGGTTTGATGCCTTAGGCAGTGTACTTTTATTATATAATCCTACTCTTAGTGGTTAGAAACTGCTTGTTCATCTAGGAGAGTGGCTTCAGAGCACAATCAGAAAATCAAGTATCTGCACATCAACCTTCTATCTAGACAGTAAAGAGGAAAAAAAGCAAGCCATTCTGGGCTTCATGTT
The DNA here is from genome assembly GCF_000001405.40 of Homo sapiens. Lineage (NCBI taxonomy): Eukaryota > Metazoa > Chordata > Mammalia > Primates > Hominidae > Homo > Homo sapiens. Next base: position 49,670,265 of record NC_000011.10, read on the forward strand.
TAGTTGGGGCACACAGTAATATCTTTCCAGACGTAAAATTAGGAAGTGACCATTTTTTGTTTCTCGTCTGTCGCCTCTTTTGAACACAATTGCTCTTCATTTCTGCTCTTGTATTACTTTATTTGCACTTGCCTTTAATTGCTCTTCTTCCTTATTTGTATTACTTTCTCAGGTCCATATCTTGTCCTTTTATTGTGCATTTTGAATTGTTTTCATAATTAACTTTATTTCTTTGGAATCTAATATTTGCACATAATAGGAGAGCAATAGCTTTCTTGATTTCATATTTTCTTTTGGAAATTAGTTTATTTCTAACAGTGAAAATAAAAAGGGTGTGTGCATGTTAGCTGGACAGAATACAGGAAAACAGGAATGATCTCCATGTACTGTCATAAAACTTCTAGGAATTTTATGAATTCTCAAACTTGAACCCTTGCATTTAGCCAGGTTAGACCTAAGTTAACTGGGAAACATAATGCTTTCTTCTGTTAGGTGAATTTCATAAAGGTGTAAAAGAAGGATATAAAGTGACCATTTCATTTTTCAGTATCATTGGTAAAAATTTATTTCTAGTCATTAGATAACAGTGGAAACTGAAAGCAGCATGCCGTCCTTGAGCAAAGCAGTATGCCGTCCTTGAGCAAAGCAGTGAAACTGTAGCCACCTGTCTTTTGTGAACCACACTGGGAGCTTAATTAAAGAAACCTGCACCTGACTCAAACTGGTTTGAATACCAATAGCTGATTCATTAATTGCAGAATAAAGTTCTTAATGCTTTAAAACACTAATATGGGCAGTAAGAATGTTTATACCAGTAGTTTTCCATTAACATACAAAAAAGCAGCTTTCTTGTTTTCCTTCTTTTAAGAAAAGGACGGTCATACAGAAAGCCAATATGTAAACCATAAAATTGGGACTTCTCTGGCTGAGATTAGGTTAGGTTATCCCAAGCTCCCCTCCCTTCTCCTCCACCTATCCTTTTGGCCTCCATTTTCCTGACACTCTCCCAATCACCTCTGAGGCATTTCCATGAAAGCTCTGTTTCTGCTCATCACATTTGAAAGCCAACAGCTACGCTATCCAATTTGCGACTTCTGACTCCAGAGCTTGTTCTTATAAGTAAACAGTTGTTTCCAAGGGACATCTTTACACTGTGGAAATTATTTATATTATTAATAGTAGTATGAGGAAAGATGATAAGACTTCTTGAACTTTAAACATAGTAGATATATATTTACTGCTTTTCCTTTAGCTCTGAACAAGGTTGTTCAATAAGGGGAGAGAAGCCCTGGTGACCCCTCTCCCCCCACCCAGTAAAGTGGATTATTTCTTCCAGGCATAATGGATTATATTTTATTAATCAACTAAATCTATATCAACAGATAAGTGGGTAGTTAGCAAATATAATACTTAAAGCCAGAGATGGTGTCTGAATAATGAGTTCACCAGGCAAAGATTAGAGAGGGATAATAGGGGGAAAAAAAACTAACAATGCAAGGACACAATGGTAAAAAGAACACATTTTAGGTACCTAAACCTCCATGATGTGTATTTGTAAGTACAACATTTGAGTCAGGAGGTGAAGCTTGTGGGTGACTTTATTGTCCTAGTGAGGATTTTGCATTTATCCCTATGTGGAAGGCATTGGCGGGCAAGTAAATATGCTTTTTGGAAATGTTGTTTAAAGTAACCAGAGTTAACTCAGCAAATATTTCAACAGAAAAAAATGAGCATACCAAAATAGAAATTTCTATAAACATTAACATGCAAGAACAGCAAAATATTAATGCAGGAGGTAGGATAAAATGGGGAAATTATTTAAGTCATGTGAGGCCTAATAAGTGATACAGTAAAAGGGAATCTTTTTTTTTTCACAATTCTCATTATAACCTCTCATTTACTTACATTATTAAAAGTTTGGTCTATAATATGTTTCCTAGTTCTTTGTTTAAAAAATTCAATATGTTCAATCCATTTTTAAAGCCAAAAATCTTTCTACTGATAGACTTGTTAGATTCCTCAGTGAGTCTACCTATGCAAAGATTTTCCCCATAAGTAAACATTCTCACTGATTAAAGCACAAAAATAATAAAGCAGTTAGAGAATGGCTCCAGGAGATAATGTTTCATTGACTGGCATTCTGTCAGTAATGTGAATGCCATCCTGTTCTCATTTTCTCCCTGAACCCTGTAGGGAGGCCAGATTGAATAAGTAACCCCCACAAAAGAAAGAATTTCTGAAAATGTCAAAAACACAAAACATAATTTGGTCTCTAAAATAATTGATTGCTTTGCATGGACAGATCCAGAAGAGACAACATAGAAAATTTTTCAACTATTTCTCCCGTTCACCTCTACTCTAGTAGTCCTCAGTTTCTATTATTGCCATCGTTATGTCAATGGGTACTCAATGTTTAGCTCCTACTTGTAAGTGAAAACATGCAATATTTGATTTTCTCTTCTTGCATTAATTTGCTTAGGATAATAGCATCTAGCTGCATCCATGATTCTGCAAAGAACATAATTTTAATGGGCACCTGGATTGATTCTATATCTTTGCTAGTGTGAATAGTGATGCAAAGAACATGCAAGTGCATATGTCTTTTGGGTAGAAAGATTGGTTTTGTTTTGGATATATACCTAGTAATGGGAGGGCTAGGTTGAATGATAGCTCTGTTTAAAGTTCTTTGAGAAATCACCAAACTGCTTTCCACAGTGGCTGAACTAATTTCCATTCTCACCGACAGTATATAATAATTGCCTTTTCTCTGCAACCTTGCCAGCATCTTTTGCTTTTTGACTTTTTAATAATAGGAATTCTAACTGGTGTGAGATGACATCTCCCTGTGATTTTGAGTTGCATTTCTCTGAAGATTAGCGATGATAATTTTTTTCATGTTTGTTGGCCTCTTGTATGCTTTCTTTTTAGAAGTGTCTGTTAATGTCGTTCACTCACTTTTTAATGGGGTTATTCATTTATGCTTGTTGAACTGTTTACATTCCTTATAGCTTCTGGATACTAGACTTTTGTCAGATGCATAGTTTGTAGATATTTTCTTCCATTCTGACAGGCTGTCTGTTTACTTGGTTGATCATTTCTTTTGTTGTGCAGAAGCTCTCTTGTTTAACTAGGTCTGACTTGTCAATTTTTGTTTTTGTTGCAATTGTTTTTAAGGACTTAGTCATAAATTCTTTCCCAAGTTTGATCTCCAGAATGGTGTGTTCTAGGCTTTTTTCTAGGATCCTTATAGTTTGAGGTCTTACATTTAAATCTTTAAACCATCTTGGTTAATTTTTGAATATGGTAAAAGGTAGGAGTCCAGTTTCATTCTTTTGCAAATGGCTAGCCAGCTGCTCCAGCAACACTGATTGAATAGAGAGTCCTTACCTGATTGCTTATTTTTGTCAATTTTGTTGAAGATTAGATGGCTGTAGGTGTGCAGCTTTATTTCTGAGTTCTCTATTCTGTTCCGTTGGTCTATCTCCCTGTGTTTGTACAAGTACTATGCTGCTTTGTTTACTGTAGCATTATAGTATAGTTTGAAGTCAGAAGATGTGATGTATCTGGCTTTGTTCTTTTTGGTTAGAGTCGCTTTGGGTATTCAGGCTCTTTTTTTGTTCCATATGAATGCTACAATACATTTTTCTAGTTCTGTGAAAAATGACATTGGTAATTTGATAAGAGTAACATTGAATCTATAGATTGCCTTGAGCAGTATGTCCATTTTAATAATATTTATTCTTTTAATTAATGAACATGAAATGTTTTTTCATTTGTTTTGTGTCATCTACGATTTCTTTTAACAGTGTTTTGAAGTAGTTGTCCCTGTAGAGGTCTTTCACCTCTTTGGTTAGATGTATTCCTAGGCATTGTGCGTGTGTGTGTGTGTGTGTGTGTGTGTGTCTATTGTAAATGAAATTGCATTCTTGATTTGGATTTCAGCTTGAATGTTATTCATGTGTAAAAATGTTGCTGATTTTTGTACAGTGATTTTGTATCCTGAAACTTTACTGAAGTTATTTATCAGTCCCAGGAGCCGTTTGGTGGAGTCTTTATGGTTTTCTAGACATAGGATCATCTCATCCACAAAGAATAATAGTTTGAGTTCTTATTTTCTTATTTGGATGCTTTTTTTTTTTCTCTGTTGCCTTGTTGCTCTGGCTAGCACTCCATTCTATGTTGAATATGATTGGTGAGACTGGGAATCCTTGTCTTGTTCTAGTTCTCTAGGGGGATATTTCCAGGCTTTGCTGATTCAGTATATTGTTGGCTGTGGTTTTGCCATAGCTGGCTAATTGACAAATTTTAAGCATTCTAGTGAATTTCAGTCTTTGTTTTAAGCCCTTTGTAATCCAGTGTATTTTTTATAAGCTACATTCAACTATCTTTCTTTAAAAAAAACAAGGTATCTGGAGATCTAATGTACTGCATGAGAATTATAGTTAATAAAATTGAGTCATAAACCAGAAATTTGCAAAAAAAAAGGCACGTAGATTTTAGGTAATTTTACCACACACACACAAAGGGTAACTATATGAGATGATGGATATGTTATTAGCTTGGCTATAGTAATCATTTTACTATGTAAATATATATCAAAATATCATGTTTTAAACTTGGAATATATTCAATAAAGTAAAGGAATAATTTAACAACTATTTAATTCTCCCACTGTGACCCAAACACACTCATGCACACACACAAATCTCCATTATATTTCTCTCTTACTTATGAACATTTATTGGTTCTCTAGCATCCAAACTCCTTAGTTTGTCATAGGAAATTCCTTATAATCTGGCTGCTCTCTATTTTTCTGGCTTCAAGTTTAGCCTGTTTGCTTCTACATCATTTATTCCTTCAGAGTAAAATTCTCATTTCCCCCGCCTAATAAAGTCCTTTCATGAGGTCATAGCAACAACCAACTTATCCTTCAAGATGCAGCTCAAATGCATCTCGCTTTAGGCAACACAACTTTAGGATCATCTATTTTCTGCCAAACACTATTAAAGTGCCAAGCATTTGACATTGATTATTCATGTTTACTATTCACAACTTCTTGAGGTAAGGCTAGACATCTCCATTTCAGAAAAGAGAAACAAAAATGAAGGCCAAAACAATTAAGGGTCTGTGCTCAGTTGGTTGAACATGTAGTGAAAATGTGAATTTGTAGCTATGGATGCCAAGACCCCTATATATGGACCTCTACATTGCATACTGTAGTTTATTAGAACAAAAAGAGAGAAATCTGGATATATGAATGATATTGAAACCTATATGTTGAGGTAAAAGCAAATTCAATATTGTTAAGATCAACGCCTGTTCTTTTGCTATTTCTCCTATACTAAAGCTACTTTTTGTTGCTGGTGGGAAGGAAAGGGTAAAGTCCTACAAGGCACCAAGAGTTCCCACTTGGGAGCTTGGTGTATATCATTAACTGATAAGGAAATTTCAGAAGAAGGCGAATTTTTAGGAGAGGACCATAAGCTTTGTTTTTGTTTTGGAATGTTATGAGTGAGTAGTAGCAGTATGCTTCCATAGATATGTACAATAGAAAATTAGCCATTACAGTCAGACCTAGACTTTCACATTTCAGAACTGGGAGCATTTCTATGTAGAAGAAATGGTGAAAATGATTATCTGAAAAAGATTATCTGATTGCTGCTAATTGTGAAGCTAATGTATAGAAGAGAGACTTGGATAAATTTTGTGATGATTTCTAGATGTCTGGAGAAATGTTCTGGAATACAGTCTTCACAAATGAAAGTTATGTTTGATTAAATGACTACTTTAAATTGTAAAACTGCATAGACATCAAAAGGAATTGCCTAACGCATGACAGAAGACATAATGTTGGTCTTAGAGTTCAGTGGTTCTTTCCTAACGACACCTATATGAAGCCCTGTTAGGCAGAGTTCATCAGTTAATCTCTCTAAGCCTCAGAGTAACAGCAGTTATTTAATAACAACAGCAATAATGTACTCATATGGGACCACTTCTCCTTGGGCTTCCTAGGGGATTGGAAGGAATAAAGAAATGGTGCCATATTAGGAGAACAATTGAAGTTGCTTGCTTGATGGATGTTGTTCTCCAAAATTTTTGGTCTGCGATTCTACTTTGTATCCTGTAGTTTATTAGAACAAAATAAAAGTGATAGATCTGAGATAACAATGATGTTGAAACATATTTGTTGAGGTTCTATAAAAGCAAATAAAATATTGTTAAAATCAATTCAACTCAAAACATCAAAGTAATTTCAAACTTCAGTTGTGTCCCATTTTTTTTTGCTTTACTTAGCTTTACTAAGCTTAAAAGTCTTCCCATAGGGCAATAGAACCATTGAAAGTATTCTTGGGTGAGAGGTTTATGTTTGATTTATGAATATATAATTTTAGGAAAACCTTTGAGGGCCATAAGACTAGAAACTGGTGTTGGCAGGAAGCAGGAAGCCAGTCCCCACTGCAATTTTCATGCCCAGAAGAAGGAATGGATGCACTTATCTGGGATTTAGGATGAATGAGACTGGTCAAATTGTATTTCCTGCTGTTCTATTTGTTTTTAGTTTGAAACAGACAAATCACACTAGAAAAGTTGAAAGAATGGTACAATATATACTCATATATCCCTCACCAAACTCACCATTTGTTAACATCTTCCCACACACTTCCCTTTTGCCAAATCATTTGAAAATATGCTATGAATGTCATGATATTTCATTAATAAATATTAAAATGTGTATATTTTCAGAATGATAAAATTTTCTGACACAGCCTGAGCATACTTACAGCATAATTCAACATTAATTTACTATCATTATACACAGCCCATACAAATTTCCCCAGTTATCTAAAATATGTCCTTTATGGCTGTGTTTTATGTTTTGTCTTTGCATTTCTGTGTTTTGTTTTTGGTTTTATGTCTAAAATCCAATTAAGGTGTATATATTTGCATTATTTCTTCCTAGTCACCCTGCATGAAGCAAGTCTTCCTCACGTGAATTTTTTTGTGTAACATTGAATTATTTGAAAAGCCCTGGTCTGTTGTCCTGCTGAATATCTTATAGTATAGAAAGGCCTATCTTCTAATGAGATAAACTTACACCTAACATTTCAAGCAAGAATATACTATTGGTGATGTTGTATGTCTCCCACATCATCGCATCAGTAGGTATATATGTGCCATTATTTGGTTAAGATTCTGACCATCAAGTATCTCCATTGTAAAGGAATTTTTAAACTTTGTAAAATTAAAATTGATATTATGTTCCCTAACAACATTTGTTAGGCCAATGTTTTAATGATCCCATATAAGTCAATTATTACTATAGTTGTTCTACATTTACAGTTGGCATTCTTTTTTGTAAGGAAGCTTTTTCCCACTTTCCCTCCCCTCCCTTCCCCTTCCCTCTCCTCCTCTCCTCCTCTCCTCCTCCTCTCCCCTCCTCTTCCCTCCTCTCCCCTCCTCTCCCCTCCCCTCCCCTCTTCTCTTTTCTTCTCCCCTCTTCTCCCCTCTTCTCTTCTCTTTTCTCCTCTTCTCTTTCTCTCTCTCATTATTATGTATATATGGCTTATTTCTTTAAGTTCAAATGTGTTATATTCCATTAGTTTCATGATTATTTTTGATATTCAGAGTGTTCCAATTTTGTTAATGGGGTCGCCTTTAAACTGACCTCTGTGTCTTTTTCACATGTCCCCATTAGACTTTGAGCATTTCTTTATTTTCTGGCACATTAAGATGCTTCAGGCTCACCTTGTACTTCTATTTGCCTCAGTCTGAAATAAGCAATTTTCAGAAAAACTTTGTTTCTTATTAGTATAAAATGACTTATACTAATTAAAATTAGTATAAAAGATCTTTGTTTAGAAACAAAGACCTAAGTTTGGAGTGTTTGTTGCCTCTTGCTTGTTTCATTGTGCTTTGGCCCTTTTGATGATAGAGTTAGGGGGAAAACTGTGTGTGTGCACTTAACACATTGTCACATATGAGTGCACATGCAAGTGTGTTCATACTGATTACCTCAAATGAAATTCAGCATTACAAGATTTTGTTTCTCATCTTCTTCCATTTGATATTTGTATTTCTCTGTTTCTATAGTGAATATTGTTATTTATCAAAATATGTATGTTTAGTCACTTTTTTTCAATATACTCAGAGTAGTTTCAGAATTGCATCACCAAGACTATTATCGGGAAATCAACTAAACAAAGTTCAATATTTTTTGTTTTTATTTTTATGCTATACTTCCCATAGGTTTATAGTCAACATGATGTATTTCAAAGTTACTTGAATTAATTTTTCCATATGTTTATGGAATTTAACATTCCATTAAAGTTTCCATATGTTACTATTTTGCATCATATTAGGATTATCTGTATTTATTTTTATTAAATTTCAGTTTTATTTTTTATATTAATTTTGAGTAGTAAGACATTATTGTTCAAAAGATAAAACTGTATAATGGGAGCTCTTTCTCCCATCACCATTCCCATTAAAAAGTCTTCTTTTCCCCAAGCAAATGACAAAAAAAAAAAGAAAAGAAAAAAAAATTGTCCCTGGAGGCTGAATTGCTTTTAAAAGGTCTTCCAAAAAAAAAAAAAAAAAACAAAACAAAAAAACATGAACCTGGGATGAGATCACACTATGTGAGATGATTTCAAATCAGGAAAAAAATGGGCCACTTAAATAATGTTGCAAATAGATGCTAGAACACAAAGAAAATTAAAATTGGTTTCTTCTTCAGAGTTATGGAATATATCACCTAAGGCCTGGGCACTAATAGAAGACTGAATCTGATTCATTTGGGCAGGCGTATTTAATTTTGTGTTAAGAACCCTGAAGTTTAAAACTAGGCCACTAAGGTGTGAGAGAAATCAGTAAGCTTCATTCAATGATATTTGAACAAGATAACACATAATATAAAAGACATTCTACAATCTGATCCCTTTTATTACTGAATTCTTCACTCTTCATGTTATATACTTTGATGTTTCAACTACTGCCACCCCAGCCTATGTACAGTTATTTGCACATGGTCTGCTACTTCTCACTTCTGTACTTTTAGCCATTGTTTGCAATGCTCCTCTGACTTATTTTTTCAACTTGGAAGCCACTACTTCTTAATAGAAGTTTTTTTTAGACATCAGGTACTTCTTTCCCTTTTCTATTTCTCAACATTTGTTTATTCGTTATGTACTAAATGTCAGGTGTGCTCATATTGCTTCACCAAACACATGCACACATACGTATTAGAATATTATTATTCTAATCATATTAGAATAATTATTCTAATCTAGTTTTGTGTTTGCTTATCTGTTTTTAAAATGTGAGTACTTGGTTTAGGATGATGCTGTACATGGAGTTATCCAGTAAATATCATTAAAAGGCCAAGTGAGAATTACTAAAGAAAAATGATCATGATTTCTTCCTTTGTTGCCCACATATGCAGCTAAAATACACACATTACAACTTTTAAAAGTTATTTGCTTCAATTGTCCTGGTATCATTTGGCCTATTTTTCTCTACTGTTATCTTCAGGAGCCATGATAGGATAATGTTGGTGCATCTGGTATGTTTGGGTTTCATGAAAATACGATTAATGTGGGCACCCTTGTATTACTTGATTAAAAATTATTTTGCATTATAAAAGTATTATTTTAAAGTAAGCACACCGGGTACCAAAGTTCTGGTAGTTAAAAACAAAACAAAATTGAGTAAACAATTCAGGCCTTCAGTGGTGACATTTAGAGAATGAAATTTGAATATATATTTGGTGATCTCACGAGAAGAGAAATTATTTCAGATGTGCCAGAATAAAACAGAATTCTTGAGTCATCCACAGATGAATTAGTCATAAACTAAAAATATAGAATATGCAAAGAAAAAGGAAAATTATTGCAGAAGATAAAAAATAGAGCAATTGTGAATTTAAAATATACTGCAATCAATAACATTTTAGGCAAATATCAGTAGTGCAGAAAACAGTACAAATTCACAGTTATGGAGAGAAAAGAGAATATGGACTAGAATCCATCCTGGAACATGTTAATGGAGACAGTTTGTTTGATACCATCTTGAAAGATGCAGACCTTATATAACTTAGGAAATCAAAAATATATGTAAGCTTTTCTAAATTTGGTGCTGATATATAGATGTAAAAACATAATCCAATTTTAATATTCATTAGAAAAAGACATTCAAATGATTGACCTACTTTTACTTGAACCCTGTTATGTGGAGGTGAGATAAGAAGACAGTGAGTAGATAAACAGTGTTCGTGCAGAGGACCCAGTGAATGAGAATGACTGGATTTGGTTCTACTACTTGCTGAATATGTAACTTTATACAAATTACTTGACTTCTCTGGGGTGTACCTTCTTCTTTAAAAAAAAATGAAGTAATACCTCATAAAAATATTGTGCGAATTAAATTAGAAAGTATATAAAAAGAATTAGTACAATGTTTAACACTAAATACAGACCCAATAATTATCTTTTTCTTTTTCTTGTTGAATATCAGGCTCTGTCTCTTAAGTAAATTTTCTAAATAATGGATATATAGTCCTTCCTGTATGAAAAATATAAAAGATGTCTCTCCCATTTAAAATAACAATGTATTGCTTTAAAACACAAAAATCAAAGTCATACTAAATACTTTCTTCTCTTCCTAGGAGGAGTAAAATGTGATAAGGCTAAGAGCTTCTTATCCAGCACACTCCTCATTATAAATATTTGGTTCCTCCCAGCTTTATTGACATACAACTGACAAATAAAATTTTATGTATTTAGTGTATAACATGATGTTTTGATATATTGATGATATATATACACATTGTGAAATGAATAAATCAAGTTAATTGACATATCCATCACCTCACATAATCATTTTCCTTGTTGGTCATGAGAATATTTAAGATCTAATCTTATAGCAATTTTCAAGTATATAATACATTATTTTCAACTCTAGGCACCATGCTTATTACAAATATTTGTAATCACATTTTATTTTAATTCAACTGTGCTATCTAAAGTTATTGAATCATTACAACTGTTTGCCTCTTTAGAAAATGACAGTGATTGTGTGAGATACAATTTCATGCATTACTTCCCCTGTTTGCCCACATATCCACTGGCTTTGCTCACAGGTATTAGTATGTGAATACAACAAACACCTCTTCTAATTTTCTGCTTCTATTCTGCAGTCAGCTTGGAAACTGGAAGACTGAATTTGCTTTAAAATTTGTCTATAAAATAAAAGATCCTCTACTGTATTTGAGGGCCTGGTGGGCTCTCTTGAAAAAGACATGCAGAGTCCAACAAATTTGTGTTACAGAATTTGTTTGGAAACATTTTGTTTCTTTCTAGTTAAAAGACTGTATTTTGTGTAAATATCCAGCCATGTGAATGCTGGATAAGAGAAACTTTACTATAATTGTTCTCATTTGGCTCATATGTTATAATACTACCGATACATGAATCTATGCAAATTGTTAGCAGAAAGAATGAAGGCTGTGTTGTCATTGTTTAGAAAATGAGAAATCTGTCGGACTTCAAAGTCATTATAAATGTTGAAAGAAGACAAGTAAAGCAAAGATAAATACTGTATTACTTTATCAACTTCTCAAACTACAAGGTTTTTGTACTCTATACAGAGAATATCATTACTAATGTCATTTACTATTTATTTGATTTTAAGTACCATAAACGCCAATATATGTGGTAGCATGTTTTATCCAAGAAATGATGAGAACATTTCCACATATTAAGGTCAAACCCAGTTGGTCCCTCTGAGCTCAAATTAAGCTCAATACTCACCTTTCTTAAAGATTCCAGACTCAAATGAACATGTTATAGATCACTTTGAGTTTTAGTGAGTTTTTCTAAATTACTTTCAACAATGCTACTTATTTGTTCTATAATAAATTGTAAATTATACCATAGCCAGTATTGGAACTTCTCTTTCTTTAGGAATCTCCCAGCTTCTAATCTTTCCATCCTCCACTTCCTATACTTCAAAACCTAAAACAGCTAAACCTAAAATACCATTAGCATTCAAAGTGATTACTATTTCATAAACTATGTCCAGGCTTTGCTCCTTTCTCAATGTTGGGCTGTTCAATTTTAATATTTCAATTGGTCCAAACAAAACTAGCTGAAAGGGTAAAGTGATTGGGCTTTTTCAGTGCCCTTATATCTTGGTGTTTGTTTATGAATAAATGGGTTAATGATATTTTTATTAACATTCATAATGACTGTTTAAGGTTATCAGTTTAAAAATATTACAGGTAGGTATTTTAAACTTAGCTTTTTATCCAATTCATATTTCCATCCTTCATATCAAGTATTTGTTCTTACCATGTGTCTTGCTTAGTTATATCAGCTTTCCTTGCTTTATGTTAAAAGATACTTTATTTCACATTGTTTTCCAGGTTTTCACAGCTTTTCTTTATTTCACATAGTAGTAAACATACTAGTAAACAGAAGAAAGTATGAGACATTATAACGAGAAAAAGCTTGATGACCCAGATAAATCTTACTGCTATTGGCCTAATAGTCAAGCCTCTTTTTTCCTTTAATAAATATTTTTATTTGTTAAGTTTTCACTTAGGCTTAAAACAATATGGTCATCTGGCTCATAATAATACTCACCATACATTGACTTCTTGCCAATTCTAGGCCTTTGTTTAAATATTTATGTTGTTATTTTAAATCTCTTACAACCATCCTGCAAGGAAGATGCTAGTCAGATTAGCAACCTAAATCTTATGGAATTTAAATATCTTGATCAAGTCACATAGCTGCCGGTGGCTGAGACAAGATCTGAGCGCGAGTCTTTCTGACACACTTTTCACACCTGCCTGTAGTCTTGTACCTGACTCCATTAATCATCAGCATCTCCTCTTGGCTCTCTATTAATAATTAGAAAAATGAACTGTGGGATTTACTTTGTAGAATAATATGTGACAAAAGCATTAAAATAGATTTATTCTTTATGTCATCTAAATGTTGTCAAAGGGACTAGGATTAGTTGGGATTGTATTTAGTTTAATTTTTAATTAGTCTTACTCCAAATAAATTCTATACTAATGAGACAATATTCTCTTTTCAGAAATGTTTGACCGTATCTTTTTAAAAATCTTTTAACAAAAAATATAATTAACGGGAAATAATATATCAACAACCTAAAATGTGTGGTTTATATATGAAGGATATCCATCCTGTAAAATATGTATTCCTTTGAAGGTCTTCAAAAAGAGTATTTCCCTTTTCATTCATCCGTTGAAGAAGTGAGGCTGGAACATGAATCTCATCCTGTGCCAAGCTGCCTTTTGTTGTAGTGAGGGACTTTTGACCATCACACTCTTCCTAATGGGGGAAGTTCACACCTTGCTCATGGATTTTCCTAAAGAAATTTCTATTTAGAATCACAGTTGCTCATATTAACTAGGGCACTACCTTTGGACCTAAGCAAGCAAGATTGATCATTCCTTCTCTGCCCCTTTTGAGCAATGTAACTTGCTCAACCTCATTTCTTTATATGCAAAATAGGAAGTCAGTAATTGGAAGAGTGATTATTTTTATATATATATAAATTATACCCACACACACATACACACACTATTTTTTTTGTCTTCATCTATGTGATCTTTCTTCACTATTCTAAACATTCTTGTCACCTTATACATTCCTTTTATTTTTGTCACTTTCTAACCTGAAAATTGACAGCCAACACAATTGCTTTGGAAGAGAACATGGGGTTGTGGAAAAAACTAAAATCAGGGTCTAAAAATCTCAGCTCTGTTGTTAATGAAGTTGAAAGCTTGGCGAAGTCACCTAATCCTTATATGTCCTAATTTTTCTCCCGTGGTATGGGGATATTAACAGTTTGATAGCAGATTTACAGTGTTCATGTGAGAATTAAATGAAATTGCTAATCACAACAGTACCTAGCACAGTGCTTGGGACATAATAGGCCCACAGTAGGCAATTGACAGGTATTAATTTGCCCTTTCCTGTTCCTTCACGAAAGCTTTAGATCATAGAATTTGGCAAACCTTATTGTCTATTGGCGGCCTGTTTCTATAGTCCGGTGTTTTTCAGACTTAATTTTCAACTCCTTTTAAAAGAAAAACATTTGCCTGAAATCCTGCCACTAACTTATGCATTTTTATTATAATAATATTTAAAATATAAAACCATTACATTATGAATTAGACACTAATATTTATAATGTATATTCAATTATAAGACCAGAGCAAATTTTCAAATAAGGTTTGAATTCAATTAAAATAAAATAAAATTCAAATAAAATCATTAAGTTAATGTGATTGAGGATGTTATCTTTCTGAAATTAAATCACAATGTACAACTGAATGTAGTACTGGATATACTTTTGCATTCATCATGTTTCTACCTCACCATGTTATGTGATGACTTGAGTCTCTTTTCACTTAAATTATTCAAATTTTTTATTTCAGCATTGGGTCCTGGTATGATTTAACCCTCACCTGGTGCAAATGCATCATGTAAATTTTGAATAGCCATTTTTATTTTCCTGAAAAATAACATGACAAATAGAGCAGCTTTGGGCACTAAAGATGTGCAATACTTAGTTATTAGGTTATCATCCGGAAGATAAGAGTTATTAACCTTGTTTGGTTATCTTTGAAATCAATTGACAGTTTGACACATTCTTAGAGCTCATTGTGAACTCTATTATCAAAAAATAGAGATCACAGCTTGAAAATCTTTCTGTATTAAAAGACCAATACAGGAATCAAGAAGAAAGCCTCTAGTAATTGTTTTGATGATTGTGACATTATTAAAATAGTAAAAATTAGAGAAGTGAGTTGTGTGGCAGTGTGAAATGAAGATTTTGTGTTTGCTTTTTTTTTTTTTACTTTTATGATGTCGAATCCCTTTTAAAAAGAAAGAAAATTATCAGCAAGATAAAGACAGATCTTATTATCTGTCCTTAAAAGTCCTTTTCTTTTTGCTAGTTTCTTAGGGTATGTTTTAATTTTAATAGGCCCAGGTCTGGTTCACTTTTATATTTCCTTCAGTATCAAACATATGTAAGAGATGTTCCAAGCTCTTTACTGAAGAAAGGAGTAATTTTATTATCTGCAGAATATTTTAAAAGATACTTTATTTTTACCCCTTGGAGTGATTTAGGTAGCCTATGTGTAAGCAAATGAATGAATTAAGTAACATTCTCAAACATGTGTGATTTCTTGGTTTCATTGATTTGAATCTAGTGCAGCAGTAAGTAATGGATAGAATTAAGATAGTAAAAGTTGACTTATGCAATTGTGTGGTGTTAGATTGATTTACGACTCAAACGAAATCAGTCTTACAAGTAAGACTAAATTGAATATGTGACATGGAGTGATAAATTGAGAACACTACTGAAAGTATTTAAACTGTTAAAAATTGAAGAAATCTGTCCAAAGAGTAGCACATTCATAGATTTTGCGAGATAAGATAGAATATATGAGCAGTTGAGATTGATTTAAGTTGGTCTCAATACATCAGTTTGAAGTTTAGCAATGAACAATAAGTCAGAAGAGTCCCAGCTGATGTAGCAAAGACCTTTCACCAATAGAGGAACTCCAGCTTATGTACTTTCACTTACACCTTCATTGCTGTTATTATTATTTTTTAATTATGAACCCTGCACTTAGTTAGATGTTACTTGAGGAGAAGGATAACACAATTCTGTTCCACTGGCAAATCAAACATATGCTTAGCAAAAAAACAAACAGACAAAAAAAAAAAAAAACAAATGCCCCAAATATTTGAATTGCAGACCTGAGGTATTTTCTGAAAACCTCTCAATTTTTTGGAGTTTATTAAAAGATAGAAAGTAATATAAAGTTTAAATGTTAATTACTTATGAGTGACCTTTCTGAATTGCCCATTTGGAAGACTTGTCTCTGAGATGATTTAAAAGAATCTCAGATAGTGTGTTTTCTAAATAAAATTGATTTGTTAAAAGGTCATACACATGATTTAGAGATTTGAGGGTCAAGGAAAGAAAATAACTAATTTCAAATAAAATGTTTACAGTTTAGGCAGTCTTTAATGAAATCCTACCTGGCATTTTGGCAACATCAGGCATTAGAGACTTAATTTAATGAATCAACAGGGAACTGAAGCTTCCATGTTACACTGTTTTGTCTAGAGTGAATTTTAATTTGAAGTGAGCCAATGTGATATAGAAATATTGGTAACCTTGGAAAATGTCTACAGAACCCCTTCTTATTCATAAAAAAAAGATTTTTAAATTACCAAAATATCATGTCCTAAATATAACAACTCTTAATAAGTTGTTACATATATAGCTATTTATCTCTCTATGACCATTCTGTATTTACAGATATAAAACCTGCTTATTTTTTATATATTTATATAACAACTTATTAATAACAGACACAATAGCAGATATAATAACTAAACTGGATTAAGTGCTCACTATATATGAGGAACTATGCTAAGCATCACTTACACATGTTATGAAAATTTCCATATCACTAGCTAACTATGTGCATATACATTGTAAGTTTTGATAGCTGCATAGTGTGTTATTATATGATTATACTATAACTTATTTAGCCAATAAACTATTGTTAGGCATTTATGTAATTTCCAAATATTCGTGTTTATATATACTAACATAAGATTCTTTTTAATTTGTGCATCCAAATTTATTATGTCAGGATAAATTGTCAGAAGTATAATACCCAAACCAAAACATTTACATGTTCCTTTGAAATTTCATTATTTAGCTGTTGTATCAAAAGATAAAAAATAGAAAACAGGGAGGTTTTTGAAATGGATTGTTGAACTGTAAACTCAGTAATCCCATGCCAGTCTATACGCCCAAAAAAACTTTGTGAGGCTTCCTTCCCTACATCCTTGCTGACTCTGGTTTTATGTGTTTCAGTCTTTGATGAGACTGGTCAGTCTTGAAACCAGTCAGGTTTATTTTATTTATGGATGCACTCAATTGCTACTCTTTCTCCTAATAGATGAGATCAAATATTAGGATATCTTAATTGATGAACCATGCAGTGTGTTTTCATGACATAGACAATGTGTTTATATATCAGAGACAGTAGGGAAGATATAAATAATACTATCATTTTAGTTCAAAGGTGAACCATGAAAAAGCTTCAGAAATATTTCAGCCCACTTTCTTCATATACAGAAATAACAAATGGCAATATAAATAAGAAATAAGGTGAGATGTGACATCATCCACAATAAAATAATTCTCAGTTTATGATATAGAGCCGGTACAAAGGAAAAACAACAACAACTGCATTTTATCTCTTTTAGAGCCCTGTGTGGGGCTAGAAATTCACAAGTCTCTGTCTTTGCTCATGCTGGTTCCCCAACATGGTTTTCCAGCCCTGCTATTGGTTTCTTCTTTGCCTGTTTACATTGTACTTATCAATGGGACCCAGATCAAAGGCTAGTGTCTGTTTGCACCTTCCTTAATCTCTCTAATTAGGATGATTTTTTTTTTTTACTTTGGTTCTTTCAATATGCTTTCTCTATCTTTGTGTTCATTTTAATTTTGCATGGTTAGGTGTTAATAAAGTCATTTCTCTGATTTTTATGCGTATTCCTTTAAGTGGTATATATTTTACTCAATTGTGTAGCATAATCAGAACTCAATATTACAGTGACTGGCAAAGTACATAAAATATTTGTTGAATGAGTAAGATAAAGTGTTTTATTTGTAATGCTTTTCAGATAGCATATAGTATTTGAAACTCATTGGAGAATCACTAAAAATGACACTGAATTATTTTCAGGAGAAGTTTTAAGCTTTTCATTTGAAAATAGTCATGTATTTATCTATAGCACATATAATAGCATTTAAAAAAACTCTCATTAAAAGAATGTCCTCCATTTTTATATACCTGTATATAAAATATAATTGTATAAAGCATGCTTTATATACTTTCCACTTCTAGAAATAATAAAATCAGCAACTACAATCTCCCATTTTTTTAAAGAAAAACCTACTACACTTCCCTTCATCTAGAATTGAAATGGTTCATATATCTATTTACTTTTGTTCTCTACCAATAAGGAGTTGGCAATATGAGGCCGAGTGTGGTGACTCATGCCTGTAATCCCAGCACTGTAGGAGGCCAAGGTGGGTGGATTGCCTGAGGTCAGGAATTTGAGACTAGCCTGGCCAACATAGTGAAACCCCATCTCTACTAAAAATACAAAAAATTAGCTGGGTGTGGTGGTGGATGCCTGTAATCCCAGCTACTCAGGAAGCTGAGGCAGGAGAATTGCTTGAACCCAGGAGGCAGAGGTTGCAGTGAGCTGAGATCTCACCATTGCACTCCAGCCTAGGCAACAAGAGCAAAACTTCATCTCAAAAAAACAAAGAAGTTGGCAATATGAGGTAAAGTTGTATTTGAGGGCCACATGATAAAAATTGCTTTCCTTTTTTCCTTGAATAATGCATCAGATAATTTACTTACTTATTTATGTATTTATTAGAGATGGGATGTTACCTCTGTTGCCCAGGCTGGAATACAGTGGTACAAACACAGCTCATTGCAGCCCCCAGCTCCTGAGCTCAAGCAATTGTCCTGCCTCAGCCTCCTGAGTAGCTGGGACTACAGGCATTCTTCACTATGCCAAACTAAGTTGTTTTTTTTTTTAATTTTGGTGAACACTCGGTCTCACTATGCTGCTCAGGTTGGTCTCAATCTCCTGTCCTCAAGCAATCCTTTCTCTTCTGCCTCCCAAGTCATTGGTATTACAGGTCACTGCACCCAGCACAAATTATTTTTTATCACTTTTCTTTACTTACATTAAGACAGATGCTCCTTTTTTGGCATGTCTTATTTTCTTTGAGCTTGAGAAACACATACACCAAAAAACGTTTGGAGAGATGACAGTTTTTTTCTGCCTAACAAATTTGACTGTGTACATTTTGATTTATTTCTTTGAAACACCAGTCTGATCCAATAATCTTACTTTAAAGCAAACTTGGGAAACAGCCAAACTAGGATCCTTGGTGTGCTTAAACAAAACCCAAGTGTTTGAGAATAAAACATGTATCACTTATGCATATAATGATTCAGTCCAGATGAACTGGGAAAACTTGTTCTCATTTTTTTGAGGCCCCTCTTGACCAAACTATTCATATGTAATTAGAAGCCACTTATAGAGCTTCACTAATAAGTAATAAATGCATTTAATTTCATATTGTTACCTATTTTAAAAATGAAGAATTTGTGGGTCTCATTGACAAACATAAACTTAAGATCACAAGATAATAAAATACCTTTGAATAATAACACAAGATGCTTAGTCATGTAAAGGAACATTAAGAAACCCAAATTCTGTTGCTGGACTTTTCGTTAGTATTAAATAGGCCATTAGATTGAACAAAAGCTTTTCATGATAAATTAGAATTGCCTTAGAGTTTTTATCTTGCTTTTGGATATACATGGGAGAGTTTAAATATGAAAAACTAAATTTCCCAATTAAACATATTAAATGTATTTTAATTTATGTATTTCATTCATGTTTAATAATGAGGAGGAAAAGTAAATTGTATGTTGTTAATTGTCTAAATCTTGCTTTACAAAGCATATTTTTATTATTGGGCTTATTAATATTTAACTAGTTTAATAGTTTAATAAATAATTTTCTTTAAATGATAATTGAAGAACTTTCTTTAGTCTTAGTTGGGTACACCTATCCATGGGAGTGCAGGCTGACCAATAAGCCAGAACCAAGGACCTATCAGAGGTAGACTGTAGGCTCTAATTTTTGAGCAACAATAGTACCATGATTTGGTCATTATTATTCCAATTTCACATGATTAATTTGAATTTAGGTATGTCTATTTACTTGACCACTTTTTTGGTGAGAGAAAGAGCAAAGTTATGAACTTAAATTTGTCTAAAACTAAATCTTATATTCAACAGCCAAAGTACCAAAGAAATAAACTCGAGTATATGTGTGTGTGTGTGTGTGTGTGTGTATATATATATATATATATATATATATATATATATATACACGTATATATATATATATATATATATATATATATATATATACACGTATATATATACACACACACATAGGTACAGACCTCCCTAAAAACCAATAAGGGAAAAAAATTTCATCCATGTTTCTTACTATCCATTTACTGCACTGATAACAAACAGTGTACATTTTAAAAATATGTTGGTATATGTTACACAGAAACTTATAAATTAAAACATAAAATCACAGACCCACCTTTGGAAAATTTAATAAAATATCTAAACATTACACTTATTGAGCTGGACACAGCTTAGAATTGTTTGAACTAGTCCTTCCAATGTGTTTTGGCAAAACTTATAATTGTCATTTTATCAGCGATTGATTCAGAAAACATGTAGTGACCAAAAACTACAATAAATTTAAGGATATTTTAAAATGCTTTTGTGTTCTTGTAAATCACAGTGACATCACCACTCATTATGAATTAATAGTATATATACATACACACACACACACACACACACACACACACACACACGATTGTCAATCCATAGATGAAGCTTGGTGCACTTATGGATTCACGGACCCACAACTACTCTTTGGAGTTGCAGTTATTGCAGCCCACAAGTGTGGAACCACAATGAAGTAACTGGGGCCCACAGTAACCACAGATGAAGTAACTGGGGCCCAGAGAAATGATTCACCTACAATTATATAACTGGTAAGCACCTTATCACAATTAAAACCCAGAATTCCTAAATGTTGGTCTTACGTACTTTTCCCTACACCAAAACTTCCCATCAATTTTGTTGATGTCTCCTTTGAGAATCAGATGCCTGTTACCCCAGGGAAATGCATATGTGCCCATCCATGTGAAATGCTGCACATAATCCTAAGAGGGTTCACAAACTTTTTAGGGTCTACTCATGAGCCCCCTGGTAATAACACCTGCCGAAGCTACCACCTTAATTTCTATGTTAAAAACTGAGGAGTGGGTGGGCTACTGGGCCCTGCTTCTGAAGTTAAGTGATTGGGGGAGCTTTTTAAATCATATTTTTAAAGTGTACCTTTCCCTCAATTTTAACCAGGATCACTTGATCATCATAATGTGCATGTATTAATGGCTTTATTTGAGCTGTTAATAATGTCCTTAAAAATATTTTTAAGAAATCTGAATCAGCCATCCCATTACTGGGTATATACCCAAAGGACTATAAATCATGCTGCTATAAAGACACATGCACACGTATGTTTATTGCGGCATTATTCACAATAGCAAAGACTTGGAACCAACCCAAATGTCCAACAATGATAGACTGGATTAAGAAAATGTGGCACATATACACCATGGAATACTATGCAGCCATAAAAAATGATGAGTTCATGTCCTTTATAGGGACATGGATGAAAGTGGAAATCATCATTCTCAGTAAAGTATCGCAAGAACAAAACACCAAACACTGCATATTCTCACTCATAGGTGGGAATTGAACAATGAGAACACATGGACACAGGAAGGGGAACGTCACACTCTGTGGACTGTTGTGGGGTGGGGGGAGGGGGGAGGGATAGCATTGGGAGATATACCTAATGCTAGATGACGAGTTAGTGGGTGCAGTGCACCAGCATGGCACATGTATACATATGTAACTAACCTGCACATTGTGCACATGTACCCTAAAACTTAAAGCATAATAATAATAAATAAGTTAAAAAAAAAGAAAGAAATCTGAATCTCACTGTTATTTCTTTAAAATTAATTGAACACACACACAAACAAGAGAAAATAGAAACTTAAAATCCTTCCTGTCTATACTGGTGACTTAACTTTGTGATGTTTTCAGTAGTAAAGCCAGCCTTTAGCTAGGAGTTCATAAATATTGAGAAGCATGATCTTTTTCCAGAGAAAGTGCCTACCAATTTGTGTGGATTCTGGTTGCCAAGAGACAAAGTTTAGTCCATTCAAATTAAGTTCAATGGTCTAAAAAATGCCAATTTTATGATAAAATGCTATCTTTTGTGGTAGAAAATGTTTATTTAAAATATTTAGGCCTTTAACATGTACTCTTTAAATAATGACAAATATGTGCAACTTTGAAATTGAGGGTTTTCTTTTACTTTTTCTTTATCTTTTTCATTTGTTTGTTTCTCATTCACATTGCAAATTCAAAATAATGATGCCAAACAGTCAAAAGAATCTAAGTCTGAGGTTTTACTTCTAGAATATATTCTTTCCGCCAGACATTCCAAAGGCTTTAATTTTCAATTCTGGGGTATTTGGCTATGTGTAAATAGCCCTAGAAGAATCGAAATAAGGCCAACAGGAGGAGGGAGCTTCCTGAACTATATTGACTTCCTTCTTTTTGGTTCACCTTTAGTTTTTGAGCATTCCACTAAGTTCATCCAAACAACCCCAGGATAAAGAGGGTTTTCTTTATTTAAGATGTCATGAGGCTGACAACAAATTAGCATTGTATGCATTGAAGTTTTAGTCTCCTGAAAAGAAAGGCTACAAGAAAAGAAATTGGTCATAGCATTTTCCTGTGAATAGTTCAAACATGTAAATAGTTGAAATGTATATATTTAACTGTTAGTTAAATAGTTGAAATATAATTATCAAATAATTAATTTATATAGTCAAAATAGATGGACTAGATTCACTCAATCATTGAACAAGTATTTGCTGAGTAGCTCCCATAGATGTAAAGAGCCATTCTAGGTGTGGGATAAACAATGAACAGAGCACAGAACTGCCCTCATAGGGTTAACATTTTGGTGGATCTTAGATCGATATCATTTAAGAAATAGATTTCTCTATGATTTAGAAGTCTAGCTCCAATGGAGCATACTGTAAGATCTGGGAAAACAAAAACAGTCATTTTGAAATAAAATTAATATACAGGTGAAAATTCTAGCTCCAATGAACCAAAAGTTGAGTTGCCAAATAGACAAAGTAGTCTTTCAGCAAATACAAAGGTATATGTGAAGAGATAAAGACTGAAAGGATGGAAAGGTCAAGTTTTATATGAACACCATCAGTAGATATATACTTAAGTTTTATATGAACACTCTCAGTAGATATAAACTTAATGCCTGGATGATATCTGTGGCTATCATTTTAAAGCAATAAGTACTTATTTTACCCATAAAATGTTATCTTTTAACATGCTAGTGGTAATCACAGTGGATTTGTGTTACTTTTCACAACTCACACTGTAGAAAACAAAGTATAATTTGAAATTTGACATTAGAATAGCATCCAGGGGAGTCAGCCTGGTTTTTGACTTTAGAAGGATTTGGTTTTGAATATGGGCTCTGCAGACTGCTCCTTGTGGCCTTATCTGTAAGACACAGAAGTAATGCATGCATTGAGAGTTTAGAGAATCAAATGGGAAAAGGTGCAGGAGGCCCCTTACATTGTGTTGTGCATATAATAGCTGGTCAATCAGTGGCTGGACATTTGTATTTACAGGACCAGAATTTGGATTTCATGTGCTTGATTTAATCCTGTGCTCCTTTGAGAGTGCACCTAGCTGTCTCCAGATATAGTAAAGGGGAAAGTTTTAATGGGCAGGAAAAGAAGAAATGTGCCTCACTTTTTTTTTTTTTTTTTTTTTTTTTTGAGACTGAGTGTTGCTCTGTCACCCAGGCTAGCGTGCAGTGGCACAATCTCGGCTCACTGTAACCTCTGCCTTTCAGGTTCAAGCTATTCTCATGCCTCAGCCTCCAGAGGAGCTAGGCTGGTCTTCAACTCTTGGCCTCAAGTGATCTGCCTGCTTTGGCCTTCCAAATTGCTGGGATTATGGGCGTGAGCCACCACAGCACCCGGCCAGTGCCGCATCTTAGAACACTCTTGAGGTGCTTTCTGATTTTTAGGTAAGTGTTTAAACCCATGTAATACATTACAATTGACTCAGTAAACTATTATCTATGCCTTGAAATTTGGATTAGGAACCCCTAATGGTGAATAAGGTTATGTTGTAAGGATGTGATATGTCAAATATCAGAGAGAACTACAGGACGGGTCAGCAATTAAGTTGCTAATGGGGCCAAGCACAGTACAAAGTAAAGGTGGAGGATGAGGTGGGACTTTGGGAGATGAAGCTAGTTTCTAAGGAAAAGGAAAAAAATAAAGCAGCAAAAAGTAGTCCTATCTCTGATCCTTTCCTCAACTCTGAAAGAGTAATAGCTCTTTTCTTGGGCACTAAAACCACATTGAGACACAGTGGCCATTTTATAGGTGTCAGTTATTTTATCTTTATTATTTTTATTTAAATCATGACACTGTTGAGCTAATTAAATCCTTCCTGACTATCTTCAGGCCAATCGATCATTTCTTTGCTTTGGTATCTATCTATGTTTCAACAACACGTGTATTTACATACAACTACATAATTTTAATAAAAACACATGATCCTTATAACTCTTCAGGTTTTTTCCTAGCTGAAGTAAAACATCTGTGAGATATTTACAGCCTCTCTCCCCCAAAATGATTTTTTTAAATTTATTTTTATTGTGTATAGTTAATATATACAAAATGATGTTTTGATAAACACATACACAGTGAAATGCTTACTATAGGTAAGCAAATTAGTATACTCATCACTTTCCATAGGTAACTTATGTGTGATGAGAGTTCCTAAAATCTACTTTCTTAGCAAATTTAATTATATAATACAATATTATTAACTGTAGTTAATAATATTATAATGCTGTACATTATAATATCAGATATCTAAACATTCATTTTACATAGCTGCAAGTTTGTACATTTTTGACTTATATCTCCCCATTTTCTCTTCCTCTGTGTCCCTGGTAACTAGCGTTCTACTTTCTGTTTCCATATATTTGACTATTTCTTAGAATCCACATATAAGTGAGATCATGCAGTATCTATTTTCCTGTGTCTGGCTTATTTGACTTAGTATAATGTCTTTCAGATTCATTATATTGTTGCAAATGGCAGGATTGCCTTCTTTTTCAAGGCTGAATAGAATTCATTTGTATGTATATATAAAATGACAATTTATTTATCCATTGATGGACACTTGAGTTGTTTTCATACCTTTGTTCCTGTGCATGATGCTGCAATAAACATGGGAATGTAGATCTTTCTACAAGGTGCTGACTTCATTTCCTTTACGTAGATACCTAGCAGAGGTATTGCTGGTTTTATAGTAGTTATATTTTAAATTTTTTAAGGAAGCTCCAAACTATTTTCCAAAATGGTTGTACCAATTTACATTCTCAGAAACAGTGTACAAGAGTTACCTATTCTCCACACCCTGGCTAACAATGATTATTTCTCATTTTTTTTTTTGATAATAGCTATACTAACAGGTGTGAGGTGATATCTCACTGTAGCTTTGATTTTCATTTCCCTGATGATTAGTGACATTAAACATCTTGTCATATGTCTGTTGGCAATTTGTATGTCTTCCTTAGAAAAATGTCTGTTCAGACCTTTTGCCCATTTTTAGTATTTATTTATTTTTCCCTTTAATTTTTATTTTAATTTTTATGGGTATATAGTAGGTATACATATGAATATATATGTGAATATATATTCATATGTATACTCACATAAATACGAATATATATGAATATATATATTCACATATACAAATATATATATATTCATGGGGTACATGAGATATTTTGATACACAGATACAATGCATAATAATCACATCAGAGTAAATGAGATATTCATCACCTCAGGCATTTATCCTTTCTTGGTGTTATGGGCATTCCAACTATACTCTTTTTGTTATTTAAAAATTTACAATAAATTGTTGAGTGTAGTCACCCTGCTATGCTATCAAATACTAGATATTATTCATTCTATCTAACTATATTTTTGTACTTATTAACCATCCCCACTTTTCCTCTACTCCCCACTACTCTTCCCAGCTTCTGGTAACCATCATTCTACTGTATACTCCATGAATTCAATTATTTCAATTTTTTGCCCCTGCAAATGAGTGAGAACATAAGTTTGTCTTTCTGTGCTTGGCTTATTTCACTTAACATAATGTCTTCCAGTTCCATCCACGCTGTTGAACATGACAGGGTCTCATTTTTTTATGGCTGAATAGTGCTTTTGTGTATATGCACTACATTTGCCTTATCCATTCATCTACTGATGAACACTTCGGTTTGCTTACAAATCTTGGTTATTTTCAATAATGTTGCAATAAACATGGGAGTCTAGGTATCTCTTCGATGTATTGTTTTACTTCCTTTTGGGTACATACCAGTAAAATTACTGAATCATATGGTGGTTTTACTTTTAGTTTTCTGAGGACCCTCCATACTGTTCTCCATAGTGGTGGTAGTAATTTATATTCCCAGTCTTTTATATCCTTGCCAGCATTTGTTATTTCCTGTCTTTTGGATAAAAGCCATTTTAAATGGGGTGAGATGAAATCATATTGTAGTTTTGATTTGCATTTCTCTGATGATCAGTGATATTGAGAAACCTTTCATTTACTCGTTTGCCATTTGTATATCTTCTTTTGAGGAAGGTGTATTCAGATATTTTTCCCATTTTAAATTGGATTATCAGATTTTTTACTATTGAGTTGCTTGAGCTTCTTATAAATTCTGGTTATTAATCCCTTGTCAGATGTAGAGTTTGCTAATATTTTTCCCATTCTATGGGTTGTCTCTTCACTTTGTTGATCATTTCCTTTGCTGTGAAGGAGATTTTTAACTTGATATGATCCCCTTTGTCCATGTTTACTTTGGTTGCTTGTAGTTGTTGGGTGTTACTCAATAAATATTTGCCCAAATTCAGCCTTAGAGCCTTTCCCAAATGTTTTCTTTAGTAGTTTTGTAGTTTAAGGTCTCAGATTTCAGTCTTGAATCCATTTTGATTTCATTTTTGTGTACGGCAAGAAAAGAGTATAGTTTTATTCTTCTGCATATGGATACCCAGTTCCAAACACCATTAATTGTAGAGACTGTCCTTTCCCTAATGTATTTTCTTGAGTCTTTATATGGATTTATTTCTGTGTTATCTATTTTGTTACATTGGTCTATGTGTCTGTTTTTGTGCCATCACAATGCTGTTTTGTTTATTATAGCTCTGTAGTATAACTGGAGGTAATGTCATTCATCCAGTTTTGTTCCTTTTGCTCAGGATAGCTTTGGCTGTTCTGAGTCTTTTGTGGTTCCACATAAATTTTAGAATACTTTTTTCTATTTAGGTGAGAAGGTAAATGGTATTTTGATAGAAATTTCTTTGAATTGCAGATTGCTTTGGGTGTTATGGGCATTTTGACAATGTTAAATCTTCCAATCCATGAACATAAAATATTTTCACCTTTTTTGTATCATCTTCAATATCTTGCATCAATGTTTGTTAGTTTTCATTGTAGAGATCTTTCACTTTTTTGGTTAAGTTTATTCCTTGGGATTTTATTTTATTTGTAGCTAATGTAAATGGGATTACTTTCTTGATTTCTTTTTCATATTTTTCACTGTTGACATATAGAAATACAGTTTTTTTGTATTTTTATTTGGTATTCTGAAACTTTACTGAATTTATTCTAAAGGGTTTTTGATGGCATCACTAGGAGTTTCTAAATATAAGTTATCATCTACAAATGCAGATAATTTGTTTTTTTCTTTTACAATTTAGAAGCCATTTACTTCTTTCTATTGATGGCTCTTACTAGGACTTCCAGAATTATGCTGAATAACAGTAGGGACAGTAGGCATCCTTATCTTGTTCCAAATCTTAGATCCAAGGCTTTCAGTTGTTGTTATGTTCCTTCTAAGCCCATTATTATTATCATTATTTTTAAATGGAGTCTCACTCTGTCTCCCAGGCTGGAGTGCAGTGGCACGATCTGGGCTCACTGCAAGCTCCGCCTCCTGAGTTCCCACCATTCTCCTGCCTTAGCCTCCAGAGTAGCTGCGACTACAGGTGCCCGCTACCACGCCCAGCTAATTTTTTTTTGTATTTTTTACTAGAGATGGGGTTTCACCGTGTTAGCCAGGATGGTCTCGATCTTCTGACCTTGTGATCTGTCTGCCTCAGCCTCACAAAGTGCTGGGATTACAGGCGTGAGCTACCGCGCCTGGCCTAAGCCCAGTATTTTGAAGATTTTTACCATAAAAGAATGCTGAATTTTGTCAAATGCCTTTTCAGCATTGATTAAGATGATCATATTGTTTTATCCTTCATTCTGTTGATATGGTGTATCACACTGATTGATTTGTGTATGTTGAACCATCCTTGTATCCCTGGGATAAATTCCACTTGGTCATGGTGAATGATTTTTTTTAACAATATTGTTTTTAATCACACTATTTTTAACACAATGAAATTTCACTTATTAAAAAAAAAACGCAATGGTCTTTTAAGTGTGGAATATTAAGATATTTTCAGGACTGAGGGTACCATAGATTCTATTAATTTGCTGATATCTCATTCACTTATAAGGAGGCCAGCTTTGAAAGCCATTATAACCTGCACATACATGTTTTTTAAAAATAAAAATAAGAATGCCGTACACTTATGTAGCACTTTGCCTGTCAAAGTAGATTTGTTCCGATTTTCCACTGGGTAATGTGAGGTGAGGCAGGTATTGTCACTGGGGTCTCAGAGAACAAGGGTTGATAGGTGCAGCAAACCACCATGGCACATGTATATCTGTGTAACAAACTGGCATGTTCTGCACATGTATCCCAGGACTTAAAGTAAAATGAATGATGTTTTTAATGCATTGGTGAATTTGGTTTGCTAGTATTTTGTTGAGGATTTTTGCATCTATGTTTATCAGAGATATTGTCCTGCATTTTTGTTTTTTTGATGTGTCTTCATCCTGTTTTGGTATCAGGATATTACTGGCCTCATAGAATTAGTAGTGCTTCCAATGAGTTTGGTAATATTCTCTCCTCCTCTGTATATTGGAACACTTTGAGTAGTATTTGTATTAGTTCCTCATAAGTGTTTGCTAGAATTTAGCAATAAATCCAGTGGGCCCTGAGGTTTTTTTTTTTTTTTTTTTTTGGCTGGGAGAATTTTTCTTATGACTTTAATCTTCTTACTTGTTATTAGTCTATTTCGGTTTTAGATTTCTTCATCATTTGATACTGGTAATTTGTATGTGTCTAGGAATTTACCTGTTTCCTCTAGGTTTTCCAATTTATTGGCATATAGTTGCTCATAGTAGTCTACAATGATCCTTTGGATTTCTGTGGTATCAGTTGTAATATCACCTTTTTCATCTGCTTTTAAAATTTTGATCTTCTCTCTTTTGTTTTTAGTCTGGCTAAAGGTTGGTTGATTTTTTTTATCCTTTCAGAAATCAATCTTTTCATTTCATTGATGTTTTGTATTTTCCCCTGTTTCAATTTCATTTACTTCTGCTCTGATCTGTATTATTTCTTTTTTTCTACAAATTTTGAGTATGCCTTGCCCTTATTTTTCTAGTTATTTAAGACATGTTATTAGGTTTTTCATTAAAAATTTATATGCCTTTTTAATGTAGGCACTTATTGGTATAAACTTTCCTCTTAACATTGCTTTCTCTGTATCCCGTAGATTTTGGGATGTTGCATTTTCATTTTCAGTGGCTTCATGAATTTTTAAAATTTTTGTTTTAATTTCTTCATGGGCCCACTGGTCATTCAGGAAAATTTTGTTTAACTTCCACGTGTTTTTATAGTTTCCAAAGTACCTCTTGTTATTGCTGTTTAATATTATTCTATTGTTCTCTGAGAAAACACTTGACATGATCTCATTTTCTTTTAATTTTGTGAGTCTTGTTTTGTGGCCTAACATATAGTCTCTCCTTGAGCATGATGTATGTGCTGAGGAAAAGAATGTATATTCTGCAGTTGTTAAATAAAATATTCTGTAAATATCTATTAGATCCATTTGGTCTATAGTGCCTATTAAGTCTGATATTTCTTTATTGATTTCCTGTCTGGATAATCTGTCCAATCCTGCAAGTGGGATGGTGAAATCTAAAACTATTATTGTATTGGGATCTATCACTCTCTTTAGCTCTTATAACATTTGTTTTATATATCTGTGTTCTCTAGTGTTAGGCGCATATATATTTAAAATTGTTATATCCGCTTGCTGAATTGACCCTTTTATCAATATATAATGACTTTCTTTGCCTCTTTTTGTAGTTATTGTCTTAAAATCTATTTTATCTGATATATATATATATATATATATATAGCTACTCCTGCTGTTCTTTGAATGCCATTGGTGTGGGATATCTTTATCCATCTGTTTTTTTTTTTCAGTGTATGTCTTTATAGGTGAGGTGTGTTTCTTGAAGGCAGCATATTGTTGAGTTTAGTTTTAATGCATTCAGTCACTCTACTTTTTTTTATTGGAGTGTTTAGTCTATTATATTTAATGTTATTATTGATAAATAAGGACTTACTACTACCACTTTGTTATTTGTTCTCTGGTTGTCTTGGGGTCTTCTCTTCCTTCTGTCCTTCCTGTCTTACTTTTTGTGAAAGTGTTTTTCTCTGGTGGTATGTTGTAATTTTTTGATTTTTATTTTGTGTGTGTGTGTGTGTTTATATTTTTTAGGTTTTTTGATTTGAGGTTACCATGAGGCTTGCAAATAACATAACTCATTACTTTAAATTGATGACTACTTAACTCTTATTGCAAAAACAAAGAAAAACTAATAAAAACTCTACACTTTAACTTCATACTTCTTGCTCTGTAAGTTTTTGTTGTTTCTATTTATATCTTCTTATACTATATATGTCTTTAAAAGTTGTTGGAGTTATTATTTCACATAGATTTGTCTTTTAGTCTTCCTACTCAAGATACGAGTAGTTTACACACCACAATTACAGTTACAGTATTTTATATTTGTCTGTGTACTTATTTCCAGTCAGTTTTGTACTTTCAAATGATTTCTTATTGCTCCTTAATGTCTTTTTCTTTCAGATTAAAAACTTTCTTTAGGAAAGATCTGGTATGGATGAAATCCCTCAGGTTTTGTTTGCCTGGGGAATTTTTTTATTTCTCCTTCATGTCTGCAAGATATTTTCACTGGATATACTATTCTTGGATAAAAGATTTTTTTGTTTGGTTTGTTTTTGGTTTTGTTTTTGTTTTCCCTTCAGCACTTTAGATATGCCATGCCACTCTCTCCTGGCGTGTAAGGTCAAGGCTTTAAGTCTGCTGCCAGATGTATTGGTGCTCCTTTGTATGTTATTTGTTGCTTTTTTTCTTGCTGCCTTTATGATCCTTTCTTTATTTTTGATGTTTGGGAGTTTGCTTATTAAATCTCCTGAGTTAGTCTTATTTGGGTTACATCTGCTTGTGTTCTATAACCTTGTTGTACTTAAATATTGATATATTTCTGTAGGTTTGGAAAGTTCTCTGTTATTTTTTTCAATACACTCTCTGCCCCAATCTCTCTTTCTATCTCCTATTTAAGGCCAATAACTCTTAGATTTTCCGTTTTCATGCTATTTTATAAATCTTCTAGGCATGCTTCATTTTTTTTTGTTATTGCTTTCCTCTGTCTGTGTGTTTTCAAATAGCCTGTTCAAGCACACAAATTCTTTCTTCTCCTTCATCCATTCTGCTCTTGAGAGACTCTGATGCATTTTTCTGTTTGTCAGTTAATAGGGCTGTTCCAGAATTTCTGCTTGAGTTTTTAAGATTATTTTAATCTCTTTGTTAAAATTATCTGATGGAATTCTGAATTTCTTCTCTGTAATATCTTGAATTTCATTGTGTTTCTTCAAAACAGCTATTTTGAGTTATCTGAAAGGTCACATATCTCTGTTACTCTGGGATTGCTCATTGATGCCTTATTTAGTTTGGCAAAGTCATGTTTTCCTAGATGGTCTTAATGCTTTTGGATGTTTGTCAATGTCTGGACATTGAAAAACTAGTTTATTCTAATCATTGCAGTCTGAGCTTATTTATACCCATAATTCTTGATAGGGCTTTCCAAGTATTTAAAGGGAATTGAATGTTGTTCTAAGTCTTTGGTCACTGTATGCATTAGGGGGCACCCCAAGCCCAGTAACACTTTAAGTCTTGCTGACTTATACAGGTGCCACCTTGGTGATCTTCAGTAAGATACAAGAGAATTCCCTGTATTACCAGGTGAAGTCTTGTTCTCTTTACTTACTTTCTCCCAAGCAGTGTCTCTATTTCTCTTCGTACTGAGCTGCCTGAAGTTGGAGAAGGGGTGTCACAAGCCTTCCTGTGACTACCATTGCTGGGACTCTTCTTGGTCACAGCTGAGGCTAGCACAGTACTGAGTCTTGCCCAAGGCCTATGGTGACTACTGTCTGGCTATGGCTGCTGTATATTCAATGCTCAAGGGCTCTTTAGTCAGAGGTAGTGAATCCTGCCAGGCCTAGGTCTTTCATTTCAGGGCCGCAGGTTCCCTTCTGGCCCAGGGTGAGTCTAGAAATGTCATCTGGGAGCTATGCCCTAGTATTGGGGTCTTTATGAATTAGCTTTGTGCTTTATTTTACTACGGCTGAGCTGTTACCGAACTTGCAAGACAAAGTTCTCTTTACTCTTCTCTCTCTTTTCCTCAAGCTGGAGGAATTCTCCCAGAATTGTGAGCTGTGTTGCCAGAGTTGGAGGAGGGATGACACTCCCTTTGCTGCTCCAGCTGGTTTCTTACTGAGTTACATGCACCCCAAGTCCACTGGCTCCAAGCCCAGCAAAGCACCAAGACTGCCCAGGAATTACAGTCCTTGTGGTCTAGGCAGCCTTTCTAATTTATTTAGGATCTCAGGGCAATTTAACTCATGGTGGTGGTGCTAGCCATGGCTCAGGTTCTTACTTCTCGGATGTGCTATTTCCCTTTGACTAGGGCTGGTCTAAATCCTTCCTCCTTGGAGGCTGGCTGAATTCTGCCTTGCATTACTTTCCCCTGTGACAAGTCAGCACTGAGTTATAATGTGAAGTCTCAAAATCAATGCACTCTCCCTCTCCCAAGCATATAGATTCTCTGTCCTACTGCCTTGTGGTGAACTGGGGGATGGGGGAGGGGTGGTGTACGCAAATAAAGACTGTCTTTCCTACCTTCTTTCATACCTGTTTCCTTGACATGAGGTTAAAGGCATACACTGTAGTTGCTAGCTTGATTTTTGGTCATGAAGATGCTTTCTTGTGTAGACAGTTGTTCAATTTGGTGTTCCTGCAAGGGGAACGATTGCTGGATGCTTCTCTTCAGCCATCTTGTTTCTCCTCCTACCAAATGAATAATTAAGAAGAATAAATGGCACAGCCATTATTTACCTAATTATCAAATTTATCGTATTATTATCTTATCTTATAAGAAATTTGTTGTGACCATAGCCTTTCAGGATTGTTTGACTATTCTGTGGTAGTTTTTGTTTTCTTTACTTAAGTAAAAACTTCATTTTCTTCAGAAGATAAAAGACTATTTGGCCTTCAGTTTTGTAGACAACCATGAGACTAAAAAACTGTTCTTAAGGACCATAATGTCTGCACAACAAAACCTCTAGTTATCAAGCCTCTTCCTGACTGGCAGATCTGAAGTTAGAAGATGTTGGTAGTGGTGCTTTG
Source organism: Homo sapiens (assembly GCF_000001405.40). NCBI lineage: Eukaryota > Metazoa > Chordata > Mammalia > Primates > Hominidae > Homo > Homo sapiens. The sequence continues at coordinate 49,703,849 of NC_000011.10, forward strand.
AAGATCCTCCAAAGAAACCTGTTTGCAGCCCATACATATTGTCAGATTATTTCCTAAGAACTGAAGAAATGGATTGTCAAATAATTGTTGAAGATCCAGGTCCAAAAGCCTGTCACATAAGTATTAATGGAATTTTAAATTAATTAATGCCTTATATATTAATAGTATATCTTTGATTAGATAATGAGAGAATATATGACCTTTGCAAGAAAATTGAATTTAGTCTTGGATAACTACAACAGTTGTAATAGAAACAGATACTCTCCATAATGGGGCAAGGGAGCAAGAACTTATCCCCTTCCCCTTATTTTCAATTAATTACATTTCAGCTCTCCACTAATTTATTCTAATATGACCTAGATATCACTGGTTTTTGAATCAAACTTATGCTGCACATTTAAAAAAATGTCTTACAATTCAACAACAAAAGATGGTTGCATTTTGTTTTATAAACCACCAACCTTGTTACTTTAGGAAAGCTCTATAGGGCAGCTTTATTTCTGGGGAACTACTTCATAGTATATTTATTGATGTTTTCTTTTCTTCTCCTCCTCCTCTCTCTCCTCCTCCTTCACTGAATTTCTCTTGCTCTCAGTATAATTAAAAATTAGTTTTTTTTTTATACAAAGAGTAGGTAGAAGGAGTCAAACCTAGTGCTCAAAATAGTATAGTTATTGATTATTCCATCTTCCGGAAAATGTGACCTTTTTGTTTTTGTAAAAGTTACTAACATGGCACATGTATACATATGTAACTAACCTGCACAATGTGCACATGTACCCTAAAACTTAGAGTATAATAATAAAAAAAAAAAACATTAAAAATAAAAAATAAAAAAAATAAAAAAAAACAAAACAAAACAAAAAAAAAAGTTACTAACAAAACCATTAAAAATCTTGTTAAGGAAACCTTAATTTTCTGAGTATTTTCTTACCCATACCTCAATATTGAGGCAAATTGAAGATGATAATCCCCTTTTTCATTTCATTTTAGATAATTTTCCATGAATAATTCAATGAACAGCTTTCATTTGACTTTTAATTTCTTTCATAGTCCCCAGGAATATTACAACATTTTTCTTTACGTTTGAAAAAAGAAGAAAAACACCTAATATGATTGCTAAGAAAAAGGAAAATTATTTTCCTTGAGTGTAAAGTGGATATTGTTGACCTTTAATTCACTATGCAGTTATTCACAAATTGTTTGTAGTAAGCTGGTAAAGTACAGGATCAGATATGGATCCTACCTTGGGATTCAATGGAACAGAGAAACAGGGCAGCAAGGAGGTATGCTGAGTCACAGAATAACCTTACCCCCTGCTGCCACTGCCTTAGTCCAAGCTGCCATGTCTCCTTACTTGTATTATTCTAACTGTTCTTGCTTCCTCTCCTGGATTCTGGCAGTGTATTCTGAATACAGCAACCAGAGTAAAACTTCTAAATTAGGCCAGTCATGTTATTTAGCTTCTTAGAGGCCTCTGGTTTATATCTTTTATCTCTCACAAGAATCTCACTAAACTCCATTAGGATAGAGAATTTGATGTGATTGGTCACTACTATATCCCCAGTTCTTGGGAGAGAGAATGCTTGATGTATAGGAACTATTTCTTCATATTTTTGAATTAATGATATTCTGGAAGCATGATGTCTCAAAGATAGAAATTTGAGTACCCTCTATAAGTCTTCAGAAGGTGATTGGAAATGTGGAAGGAGACCCTAGGTCAGTGACTCAGTGAAGCAAAGAAAGTCAACTTCATCTTTCTAGAGAAATGTCCAAAATGTATGCTAACTGGAGACATTAAGAGACATATGACACCAACATGCTGAGTGATTTATCAGAGCATTGGCAAGGTACAGAATTTACCCCATATGGTTCAAATGAAAATGGTTCTATGAAAGGAATGCATATGGTATGTGATCAGGATTAAAGGAGCAGAAGCAGCAGGAAACCATTAATACCCACTAGGGCTAAAGGAACAAGGAGAGAAAACAGTACTGTGTGACCAGTGAGATATGGAACTGTAGGCCACATGCAGTGGCTCACACCTGTAATCCTAGCACTTTGGGAGGCCGAGGTATGTGAAACACTTGAAGTCAGGAGTTCGAGACTAGCCAGGCCAACATGGGGATACCCCGTATCTACTAAAAATACAAAAATTAGCCTGGCGTGGTAGCACATGCTGGTAATCTCAGCTATTTGGGAAGCTGAGGCAGGAGGATTGCTTGAACCTGGGAGGCGGAGGTTGGAGTGAGCCGAGATTGTGCCACTGCACTCCAGCCTGGGTGACAAAGCATGACTCTACCTAAAAAAAAAAAAAAAAAAAAAAAAAAGAGGGAGAAGGAAAAAAAAGAAGATATGGAACTGTAAAAGAGGGACCAACCAGTAGGAATTCTCATCAGAGAGGGATGCAATTTTTACCACAGAGAGGGATGCAGCTCTGAGACAGGGAAGGGGAAGGAGATACCCTGCATTCTCTCTTCTACATTGCCCTCCCCTACTGCCTTCCATTAACCCAGCTGGATGCCAGGCAGGAAGGGATCTCAACTGCTACCCTCTGCATGAGTTGGCCTTCTTGGGCTCAGAGCAGGGCAGAGAAGTGTCAAGAGACTGGATCTTGAGGGGGTGAGAATAGAGAGGCACAGGAGATATCACCATGGGATATAATCATGCTTCTGATTTTCTCACTGATCAGACCACACCTAGAGCACTGTGCTCATTTCTGGCCATTACCTTCTAACATGGTCATTGACAAACAAACCTGTATAATACCAATGATCATGAACAGATACTGTAGGAACTGGGGTTATTAAGCTTGAGAATAGATGATTTAAGGATTATGCATAACTGGCTACATAATTTGCAAGGCCCACTGCAAAATAAAAATCAGGGAGCATTTGTTCAAAAGTTATTAAGAATATTAAAATAACAACAGGGAGGATTCAATCAAACATATTGCAACTCAAATTCTCAATCCCAAGTTTCATGCTCATGTATGTAGACCTGGGAACATGTCAGCCTCCATCAGACATTTAAGGTACTGGCATGAGGACAACAGGTCAATAGGTAAAGATTAGTCTGTGTCTTAAGAGAGTAAAACTCACATCCAAGGATTGGAATTTTACCAAGTGCTTTTGTTTGTTGTTTTAAAATAAGTTCAGCTGTTTCATAATGAAATATACTTTCTATTACTGGAAAATCTTTAAGAGATACTATAGAAAGATTGAATGTTAGCATGGATGTTGGACAAAATGACTATTATGGATGCTTTCAACTATAAAGATTGAGACATCTGACATTTTTAAAAAACTTATGAACTGAAATATTATTCTTCATTATGGACAGATATTAGCCTGAGCCCTCCCCACTCCCACCAACACATACACATGCATGCATATACATACACAGTATATAATGATCTCCATGGCAAAAGTGTGACAATGCAGAGAAAGAGAGAGCAAATCAAATGCATAGAGGGCAAATGCAAGCCTTTACCTGTGCACTTTAGGAAGCCAAGACCAGATGAGAGCCTTGTTTTCTAGTCTAATGTTATTTCCATGAAATATGAGAGAATAAAGTTCCTTAGGATAAGTCAGCCCCTTTAAGAAAGTAACAAACATCAATTTGTTTGATGGCAGTAAATTGAAAAATGTTGCATTATCATTATTTTAGTTATACCAAAGTATGTACATTTTAAAAAATGTATTATCTTGATGCAGAATACCTATTGAAAAATAACAATGTTATTTTTGAAGCAGTACTCCTGCTTCACAATCTCAATTTTTGAATGCTCTAATACTCTTCATTTGGTCATTTTAGGAAGTTATACAGATACATGTTCCTCTGAACTTCGCCAGTACTTACAGTATTGTACAATACTTATTTGTGACTTCTCATCAACACCCCAACTGGTTAGATGCTGTTATTTTTACTGGTTGTATATTAAGACAATAAATAATTTCATACTTGGGTAGCAAAGAATTGTTACTGACTAGTTCATATTTCTGGGTTCCCCACCACCATTTCCAAAAGAGGGACTTTTTCTTCTTCCCAAATAAAACTGTGCACAGATGCCAAATGCATAAGGCAAATGAAAGTAAAACCACTGTATTTAAAGTAAGCACAGTGAGCACAGAGCCCTACTAATTTACTTCCCCCTCATCTCCAATTTTAGCTTCTGAGGCAACACAATGTGTAAACCAGTGATCTGGTTCAACTTGCTCAATTTACGAATAAGGAAACATAGCCTAAAGAGGTTTAGTGAGGTATTCAAAGTCAAACAGCTTATTAGAAGTAGAGGCAGGATAAAAACAAAGTCTGTGAACCCTAATGCTGTTTTCTATACACTATGCTACCTGGGTGGTACACGAATTAAATACACTACCCATCGTATGGATAGAAAAGAGTTTAGAGTATTCCAACAGTGAGGGAAAGTGTCACTTTTGAGTACAAAAAATCTATATGCTTTCTCATTTGTTTGTTTTAATTTGTTAAATTTGTTTAATTTGTTAGCTTATTTAATTATTCATTTTTCACAGGAAATGAACAGGAAACACAGGATAGATGAATAAATAGAAAATGATAAAGATACAGACACCACACAAGCTATGCAATTACAGTTCTGTGTAGGCGAAAGACTTGTTAAAAATGAATCTGTTCTCTTATGAGTGCCCAGAGACTCCAACTAGTTATCCTTATGCCTGGAGCAGAGCTTTATATACAGTGGGGACTAGTCCCTTTTTTATTGTTTTTAGATGTTCTATGGTAAATATTTAATATTTTTCATCTTTTGGGAATACGTGACTTGCATGGAAAAATCAAGAAGTGACTAGGAAAAAATATATTCTTATTTACAAAGCAACATTTTTTTTCCAAACATAACTGGATGCATTCTCTTGTTATTTTAGAGCATTTCAATAAAAGATTTAAACCTTAAAATTCAGGAGAACTTTGGATTTATGTTTTTGTTCCCATTCTCTAGCTACTGAAAAGAGATAGAGACCAGCAATTTTAAAATATTTCTTGGATTTTGGGTTGCATATTTTAGGACTTTATCTGAAACAAACAAAAAAAAATGTTCTACATTTTGTGTTTTTTAAATATTGAGCCCATTTCTATGGCTATATATTGATGTGAATAGACATTTCACCTACTGGATTCTTGCTTGAAATACATTTTAAATGTATGGTTTATCATGTTCTTGCTTAAAACTGCTGCTGATTCAAACCATATAGGATATTTCTTTTTGTCTAACCATTTGACAATCTTAGACATATATAGTCTAAGCATATATGTTTGAGAATTGTTCAGGTTTTTGTCTAATTCACTCCCTCTTCACAGTCTCAGCTAAAGAAAGAAAGCCAATCAAAACTATACCCATCACAATGTAAAATGATGTAACAGCTGCGGAAACCATTTGGTCGTTCCACAAACAGTTAAATGTAGAGTTTACATGTGAAACAAAAATTCCACTCCTAGGTATTTGAGAACTCCTAGGTTCTCAAAGTATTGAGAACAGAAACTCAAACAAATATTTGTATATCAATGTTCATAAAAACATTGCTTATGATAGCCAAATAAACTTGGTGTTCATCAGTAGATAAACAGATGAACAAAATGTTGTCCTGTATATTCATACAATGGCATGTTTAGCCTTAAGAAGGAATGAAGTCTGATACATGCCACAACATGGATAAACCCTGAGAACACTAGACTGAAAAAATAAACCAGATACAAGAAGACAAATATTGTATGATTTCAATTATTTGAAATATCTGGAATAGATACGTTGATGGAGATAGAAAGTAGAGTAAAGACTACCAGGGACTGGAGAAGTGGGAACTGGGGAGTGATTGCTTATTGGGGATGGAGTTTCTATCTGAGGTGAAGTGATTTTGGAAATAGTGCTAATAGTTACTTAGCACTGTGAATGTGTATGATGCCACTGAATTTTACCCTTAAAATGGTTAAGATGGAAAATTTGATTATATGTATTTTACCACAATTTAAAAAAAAGTATATACTCATAATCTCTAAAGGAAAAACACAAGTAGCAGGAAAAATCATATTTGTCCTCAAAATGACTATTATTGTAGTAGGTGGGCTTCATGCTCCAGAGGTTTGGGCACTAATATTAGATGAGAATGAATTTGTTATTATTGTGCTCCTCATTCGTGCTAGACACTGCTGTGGTAACTGGGGTTACAGAGGTGAGTAAGAAAGGCACACCCTCTGCATCTTGGAGATACCAGTGAGGATGGCCAAGAAACAACAAGCAAACATAGAAAGAAGCAAATTTAAGTTATAAGTGCCATCACGGAAACAAGCAAGAGATGAAAATAGAAAATGTGTGTGTTTGTGTGTGTGTGTGTGTTCGTGTGTACTGGTGAGGATGAAGAGTTTGGGAACATCCTGCTTTATTAAAAAGAAGCATGAGATTCAGAGTAAAAAAAAAAAAAAAGTAGACAAAAATTCAGAAAAAAAAGGGATGGCAGTGTAGTCTGGCCATTGATTTACCCGGCAGTGGAAAGTAGAAAAGAATAATATGAATGGGTCTGGAGACACTCTTTACCTTAGACACCAGCCACTTTGAGGGAGGAAGTATATGAGTAAGAACAGGATGGCAATTTTGCTAATATACTACATGTATGATAAGTTTTAGATTGCTGTTAAATGTTGTTTGGCTAGAGAAACCCAGGATTAATAGAACCATGCTTTACAAATCATCTATTTCCCACAAGGCTTCCAAGGCAATAATATACTCAAGGAACAAGGACAAATGAGAAATGAAAGTTCCACTTTAATTTTAGTTGGGGCAGTGCCTGTAACTGCCAATTAAATGTTTTGAAAAATCTGGATTCAAGTACAATATGTAAATTTGGACTCAACGTCCCGAAGAAAGGACTTCAGCCTCAAAGTCCAAGTCTTACCACTAACAGGCTGCCAAGTTCAAAGTGATTAGGGTTTCTGACCATCAGAGTACTAATACAAGGCAACTAAGAATGCTAGAATAATGGGTTTCCTTGCAGTATGGTGAGAAGGGACCACCATATGCATATAGGTAAACTCACACTTTGTAAATGTGACTCATTCACTGGGCATTCTGAAATCTGAACAAACAGTTTAATATCTGCTCTTGGTGAAGTTTTAGGTTGAACTGAGATATTAAAAGGATTTTCACAGTCAAATAATGAGGAAATCATAATTCATGTCAGTCAGAGAGAGAAAATGACCCCAAACTTGAAGACTGTATTCCAATATACCTAGAAAATGAGGTACTTTGTTAAAATAAGGTATAATAGGATAAGAAGCTGAAAATAGAACTTAAGGCCATACTACTTTAAAAAAACAGGCAAAAAAACAGCCTCTTATTTTTATGCTTTGAGCAGTCATTTTTAAGCTTGTGGAAAGATAGTTACCGAATCTGGGTTTAGAAAGATATATTCTGGGGGCTATGTGTGAAAGAGGTGGTGCAGAGGAAAGAAACTCCTAGCAGGGATGGTAGTAAGCATGCAGTCACTACTTACCAAACACAAGATGATCATTTTTATTCATATTACTAGAAAAGTGACTAAAAATTTTTTTCCATCATGTAAGAAAATATGGTGAATCATGACCATTATTTTCAAAATATATCACGCAATCATAGACTTTTCAGGAGCAATACCTCCTATTACAGTTCCTAGGTAGAAGACAGGGGAGAGGAGGTTTGCAAGATGGACAAAGTTGACAAGTATTTTCATGGCACATATAATTTTCTCAAATATGGAAAACATGATGTTTGTATTGAATGCTAAAATATGGATAAGTATAGATAAGAAATATTGCTCCATATTTTCCCTCATTTTAATAACCATGGTCAATATTTTAGGGCATATTCCTATGTTTTCTGTGGAATTGTTTTATAACCACTTTCTCCAAAATTGTCTTATGTTGCATTTAGTGTCCTCAGATAATATTGTTTCTAATCATGGTGGGATTACACACAAATTATATAAATTACATACAACAGACAGAAAAATTGTTTTTTTCTTGTTTTTTTGTTTTATTATACTTTAAGTTTTAGGGTACATGTGCACATTGTGCCGGTTCGTTACATACGTATACATGTGCCATGCTGGTGCGCTGCACCCACTAACTCGTCATCTAGCATTAGATATATCTCCCAATGCTATCCCTCCCCCCTCGCCCCACCCCACCACAGTCCCCAGAGTGTGATATTCCCCTTCCTGTGTCCATGTGATCTCATTGTTCAATTCCAACCTATGAGTGAGAATATGCGGTGTTTGGTTTTTTGTTCTTGCGATAGTTTACTGAGAATGATGATTTCCAATTTCATCCATGTCCCTACAAAGGACATGAACTCATCATTTTTTATGGCTGCATAGTATGCCATGGTGTATATGTGCCACATTTTCTTAATCCAGTCTATCATTATTGGACATTTGGGTTGGTTCCAAGTCTTTGCTATTGTGAACAATGCCGCAATAAACATACGTGTGCATGTGTCTTTATAGCAGCATGATTTATAGTCCTTTGGGTATATACCCAGTAATGGGATGGCTGGGTCAAATGGTATTTCTAGTTCTAGATCCCTGAGGAATCGCCACGCTGACTTCCACAATGGTTGAACTAGTTTACAGTCCCACCAACAGTGTCAAAGTGTTCCTATTTCTCCACATCCTCTCCAGCGCCTGTTGTTTCCTGACTTTTTAATGATTGCCATTCTAACTGGTGTGAGATGGTATCTCATTGTGGTTTGGATTTGCATTTGTCTGATGGCCAGTGATGATGAGCATTTTTTCATGTGTTTTTTGGCTGCATAAATGTCTTCTTTTGAGAAGTGTCTGTTCATGTCCTTCGCCCACTTTTTGACAGGGTTGTTTGTTTTCTTCTTGTAAATTTGTTTGAGTTCATTGTAGATTCTGGATATTAGCCCTTTGTCAGATGAGTAGGTTGTGAAAATTTTCTCCCATGTTGTAGGTTGCCTGTTCACTCTGATAGTAGTTTCTTTTGCTGTGCAGAAGCTCTTTGGTTTAATTAGATCCCATTTGTCAATTTTGGCTTTTGTTGCCATTGCTTTTGGTGTTTTAGACATGAAGTCCTTGCCCATGCCTATGTCCTGAATGGTAATGCCTAGGTTTTCTTCTAGGGTTTTTATGGTTTTAGGTTGAACGTTTAAGTCTTTAATCCATCTTGAATTGATTTTTGTATAAGGTGTAAGGAAGGGATCCAGTTTCAGCTTTCTACATATGGCTAGCCACTTTTCCCAGCACCATTTATTAAATAGGGAATCCTTTCCCCATTGCTCGTTTTCCTCAGTTTTATCAAAGATCAGATAGTTGTAGATATGTGGCATTATTTCTGAGGGCTCTATTCTGTTCCATTGATCTATATCTCTGTTTTGGTACCAGTACCATGCTGTTTTGTTTACTGTAGCCTTGTAGTATAGTTTGAAGTCAGGTAGTGTGATGCCTCCAGCTTTGTTCTTTTGGCTTAGGATTGACTTGGCAATGTGGGCTCTTTTTGGGTTCCATATGAACTTTAAAGCAGTTTTTTCCAATTCTGTGAAGAAAGGCAGTGGTAGCTTGATGGGGATGGCATTGAATCTGTAAATTACCTTGGGCAGTATGGCCATTTTCACGATATTGATTCTTCCTACCCATGAGCGTGGAATGCTCTTCCATTTGTTTGTATCCTCTTCTATTTCCTTGAGCAGTGGTTTGTAGTTCTCCTTGAAGAGGTCCTTCACATCCCTTGTAAGTTGGATTCCTAGGTATTTTATTCTCTTTGAAGCAATTGTGAATGGGAGTTCACTCATGATTTGGCTCTCTGTTTGTCTGTTGTTGGTGTGTAAGAATGCTTGTGATTTTGGTACATTGATTTTTATCCTGAGACTTTGATAAAGTTGCCTATCAGCTTAAGGAGATTTTGGGCTGAGACAATGGGGTTTTCTAGATACACAATCATGTCGTCTGCAAACAGGGACAATTTGATTTCCTCTTTTCCTAATTGAATACCTTTTATTTCCTTCTCCTGCCTAATTGCCCTGGCCAGAACTTCCAACACTATGTTGAATAGGAGTGGTGAGAGAGGGCATCCCTGTCTTGTGCCAGTTTTCAAAGGGAATGCTTCCAGTTTTTGCCCATTCACTATGATATTGGCTGTGGGTTTGTCATAGATAGCTCTTATTATTTTGAAATACGTCCCATCAATACCTAATCTATTGAGAGTTTTTAGCATGAAGGGTTGTTGAATTTTGTCAAAGGCTTTTTCTGCATCTATTGAGATTATCATGTGGTTTTTGTCTTTGGCTCTGTTTATATGCTGGATTACATTTATTGATTCACATACATTGAACCAGCCTTGCATCCCAGGGATGAAGCCCACTTGATCATGGTGGATAAGCTTTTTGATGTGCTGCTGGATTTGTTTTGCCAGTATTTTATTGAGGATTTTTGCATCAATGTTCATCAAGGATATTGGTCTAAAATTCTCTTTTCTGGTTGTGTCTCTGCCCGGCTTTGGTATCAGAATGATGCTGGCCTCATAAAATGAGTTAGGGAGGATTCCTTCTTTTTCTATTGATTGGAATAGTTTCAGAAGGAATGGTACCAGTTCCTCCTTGTACCTCTGGTAGAATTCGGCTGTGAATCCATCTGGTCCTGGACTCTTTTTGGTTGGTAAACTATTGATTATTGCCACAATTTCAGATCCTGAAATTCAGGTCTATTCAGAGATTCAACTTCTTCCTGGTTTAGTCTTGGGAGGGTTTATGTGTCGAGGAATTTATCCATTTCTTCTAGATTTTCTAGTTTATTTGCGTAGAGGTGTTTGTAGTACTGTCTGATGGTAGTTTGTATTTCTGTGGGATCGGTGGTGATATCCCCTTTATCATTTTTTATTGCGTCTATTTGATTCTTCTCTCTTTTTTTCTTTATTAGTCTTGCTAGCGGTCTATCAATTTTGTTGATCCTTTCAAAAAACCAGCTCCTGGATTCATTACTTTTTTGAAGGGTTTTTTGTGTCTCTATTTCCTTCAGTTCTGCTCTGATTTTAGTTATTTCTTGTCTTCTGCTAGCTTTTGAATGTGTTTGCTCTTGCTTTTCTAGTTCTTTTAATTGTGATGTTAGGGTGTCAATTTTGGATCTTTCCTCGCCCTGCTTCGGCTTGTGCACGGTGTGCACACCCAATGACCTGCGCCCACTGTCTGGCACTCCCTAGTGAGATGAACCGGGTACCTCAGATGGAAATGCAGAAATCACCCATCTTCTGCGTCTCTCACGCTGGGAGCTGTAGACCGGAGCTGTTCCTATTCGGCCATCTTGGCTCCTCCCTCTGAAAAATTGTTTTTAAAGCTACCATTTATGTGCATCACCACTGCCAAATTTTCTGCTATGAGATTCTATAAATATATATATGAGAATAAAAACAATTTTATTTAAATCTTTAATAATTCTGAGGAACATTTCTGAATTACTAGTTTTCAAATTAAAACACTGAGGCACAGAGAAGTTAAATGACTTGACCAGCTAGTAAACAACAAACCTGGGATCTAATCCTGCTTGATTCCAAAGCTCTGGTGTTCACAATTAAGTTATTCTGCTCTTCCACCTTGTAAATCGTAAAACCCTAAACAAATGTTCAATGTAATTATAATAATTTCTAATATTCGCATGAGTAAATACTGCTGCAGAGAAATTGTGACATTTGAAAGTCATACAAATATTTAGTGAGAAGATAGAGCACTAGAAGCCTTCCAAACTCTGCTCCGTTTTGATAAAATAGCATTTTGTTCTATTTTCACAATTCTCTCTATCTTAGTCTTATTCTCTCAGTCTTGCTCTCAGTTTCTATGTCCTTGTGTGGCACTACTAGCAGTCTTGGACAGAGTGGGGTCATGGAAGGCCAGAGGAGGAGACTCCTGTGGTCCCTTTGTGGGACACTAGAGTGTGGCCAGCTGTGGCCTCCCAGCTGTTGTCAGGCTTTCAGGAAAACTCAGTGATGATCACTACTAGCTAACATCCACAGGGCTGACATAACACTCCAGACAAGCCTCTTAAGTACTTTACAAGTAGTAATTTATTTTTCATAACCATCCTCATTATATAGAGGAGGACATGTGGCCCTGAAAAGTCAAATAATCTACCCAAGGTGTCACTTCAGGCAAATAGAACACCGGGAAATCGAACTCGGGTATCTGCTTACAGGCCAGGATTCTTTCCCTGTTAGCCAAACTGCCTCAAATCCTCAAAGGAACTCTTTTTAACTGCTTCAAATAGCTAGGCAAAATATAATCTGTTACTAGCAGTACTAGATGTTTAAACTAGTAATTATTTAGTATTTTAAAAATTAATAATGGTAATTGATTAACTCCTTAATTTGCCTTTTCTGGCATGGATTCCTTAGCACTTTCAAATGTGGCATTATGTTTTAATTTATATAATGGCTCAATGGAGTTTCCATTATTTACTCAATTTTTAGCAGGTGAATATGATGTTAGTAAGATTAAGTGACTTGCACAAGGTTACATAGCTCATATTTACTAAAACCCAAAATTTATGCCTTATTTTCCAACTCTCTGTTGAGTATTACATTCATTACACCATAATTGTGGTTATTTCTGACACAGAGAATTTCCTATATTTTGACATATATGTATTTTCCAAAACCTTACCAACATCTATTTATCATAGAAATGTAAGTTTGCTCCTGTCTAGACAGTAAAATAGAAATGAAACAAATGAAAACAGACAAAAATAATCCAGGGCTTTTGAACTTTTTTTTTCTCCCAGATGAAGTAATTACTTCTACAATGGTACAAATATTTAAGTAAGCCATCTGGTGAGATAATCTCATGAAAATAACTCTCAGATTTATGTATGAATGTCCTCAAAATTTGGGGAGGACTAATAAAGTAATAATGTATGTCTCACATCCTAGAAAAATCACTTGAGGAACACTCTTGTTTTAGTTGCCCTCTGTTGTGAGTCTTTCATCAAAATAGACCAATATAAGTGCTGAAAACTCCCCAATGACAGAAACAAGAGTAGATGAAATTAAGAAGCCAGTAACCACAAATGCTTTTGATTTACTTGTCAATAAATATCAATGGTTTTATCTGGCTAACAGAGACACTGTAAAATTAATTTGTGTTTACAAAACAGAAGGTAACCAATATAACTCAGCTTTCTCTTCTGTTACACACTAAGTAAATTTAAGAGTACTTAAATAAATTTGAATATAATTTTAAAGTCCTTAACAGTTTTCAGATATTGCCCTTTATTTGTTCTGACTTCCCCTCCTGTTTTATTCTCTAAGAAATTAAAGTATAATAAGATTTGAATGTAGAGAATGCATATGTTTCTCTTCCTTGTCCCCCACCACTGCCTCCTGCCTTGCCACACTCCAGGGTTGATGTTCTCTAGAGTCAGAGACTTTTATTTTGTTCATTTGCTCGTCTCAGTGTCTGGCATTTAGTAGGTGACTCAGAAATGTCTTTCAAAATGAGCTTTGCAGAGAGACTGAAAGAGACTCAAAGTCAGGTATCACTAAGACCATCCTCCAGGTGAACCAATCTAATAAGAGGTCCTACCCTGTTTAATAAAGTAACCTTGTCCAGGCATGGTGGCTCATGCATGTAATCCCAACACTTTGGGAGGCCGAGGTGGACAGATTACTTGAGGTCAGGAATTCCAGACCAGCCTGACAAACCTGGCGAAACCCCGTCTCTACTAAAAATACAAAACTTAGCCAGGTGTAGTGGTGGGCACCAATAATTCCAGCTACTCGGGAGGCTGACACGAGAATCACTTGAACCTGGGAGGCAGAGGCTGCAGTGAGCTGAGATTGTACCACTGCACTCCAGTCTGGGTGACAGAGCAAGACTCCATCTCAAAATAAGTAAATGAATAAATGAATGAATGAATGAATGAATAATAAAATAAAGTAACCTCTTGTCCACACAGGCCTATCTTTTGCTCTTTGGCAGGCTCCTGCTTTCCGACCCCTCATCAATATGGCCCTATCGTTGGGAACATGTACTCAGAGATGGTTAATTTCCACATTCTTCCCTACCTCACAATCTTCTCTCCAGTGAGAGTGACTTATCTCTAAGGGTAATATTCTTTACTTACAAAGTTTCTGAAAGATAAACACATATATTATATAGACACATCTGAACTGAATCTTCTGATTGGATGAAGATGTATGACACATTCATGCCTCAAATTAAATTCACAATTCAGCAGCATAATAATATATCAATAAGAAATAAAACAACTATTGACTAGATAATAAGAGCTTCTGTTTATGAGATCTTTTATATTAACATAATAATCTTAGATGTTTAACAAATAATGCAGCCTGATAGTTCTCCTTTCCAATACACATTTTTCCAATAAATACCTCTGTGGTGAATTGAATGGTATTCCCTACAATGATAAGTCCACATTCTAACTGTGTAAACCTGTGAATATGACCTTATTTGAAAGCACTATATACACAGTATATACATATATTCTAGAGATAAAATGCATTGTGTGTAAAACATGCATGTATATGATGGAATATGTATATAATGGTTATGTAAGATACACATTCTATCTGTAGGCTTACATGAGTAATTTGAATCCCACACTTATGGTTCAGAGACTCCTAGGATTCCACCGAAAAAGAAAAGGGATTATACAAGCTAAAGCTATTTCCAGTGTTTAAAAGAAACCAAGGGATAGAATATATTAATTGCAATAAGGCAGTACAGGTTGATGGAAATCATAGGTTCATTTGCTCTTGGCTAGAATGGTGACTCCAGGAGAGGATGACATTGGTTTGCTGTTGCCCATTGGAAGTTGAGATTGAGGTTACTTATGGCTTTGAACAAATATGATGGCATGAATTAATTATAAATAAATTATCTTTGGTTGAGAAAATGTTTTTAAAGTATGGGCTCCTGAAGGAAAATAAAAAGTCAAAAGAGCTGTAGGCAATGAAAGCTTGACAAGTGGACCCATATATGTACATGTACAAATTGACAATTGTGCATAAATCACAATGCCTTTGTCTTAATTTTCTCTTTTGTGAGGTCAGTCTAGTTTTACTTCTTAACACCTCATTTGTCAACTCTCTGCCCTTCCCCGAATGTTATCTTTTTAATGCATCTTCTTCATCAGTTCGCTAATATACCCTTAATTATCTGAGTCTATCTCGAGACCGTTTAATCATTTATTTCATTCTCAGTGAGAGCATCTTCAATTCATTTCATAATGCTATTCCAAACCCTGAAATTCCTTCCATCTCACTCAGCATGAAATCTATAGTTTTTACTTGGCCAACAATCCCTAAAAATCTGTCACACCTTTTTTAATAAATATATGGAATGCAAGTATAATTTTGTTATATCCCTAAATTGCACAGTGGTAAAGTCAGATCTTTTAGGGTGTTCATCACCCAAATAATGTATGTTGTACCTATTAAGTAATTGCTCATAATCTGTGCTCCTCTCCACTACTCAATCTTCCTAATCTCTATTATCCATCGTTACACATTCTACATTCATGCAAACATGTTATTTTAGTTCCCACTTATAAGTGAGAATGTTGAATTTGTATTTCTGTGTCTGATTTGTTTTACTTAAGATAATGGCCTCTTGTTCCATCCTCATGGCTGCAAAAGACATGATTTCTTCTTTTAAATGGCTGAATAGTATTCCATTAAGTATATATGCCACATTTTCCTTATCCAATCATCTCTTGATAGACACTTAGGTTGATTCCATATTGTTTCTATTGTGAATAATGCTGTGATAAACATATGCGAGCAGGCATCTTTGTGATATAATGAATTCTTTTCCCTTGGGCAGATAGCCAGTAGTGGGATTGCTGAATCAAATGGTAATTCTATTTTTAGTTCTTTGAGAAATCTCCATACTGTTTTCCACAGAAGTTGTACTAGTTTAAAAATGTGTCACACTTTGATGCTCACCCTCTTCTCCTATCATTCTCCCTCTTAAACATCCTCTCATATCTCCTCTTCTACCAAATCAGTCCTTTCTCTTGCTTTTCTTTGATGATGACAGAAACCCTCTAGCCTCAGGGCCTTTGCTTTTGCTCCGCCCCTGCCCCAACCCACAGAGTTACAGATCTATCCCTCTTTTCACTCAGGTGCATGAATAAATATTATCATAAACAGGAGTCTATCTCTGGTTACCTTATCTAAAATAACACTTCCCCTGCTGTTGCTTGTCCTCTTACTCTGGTTTCTTTTCTTTCCTTTTCTTTGCTTTTTTTTTTTTTTTTTTTTTTTTTTTTTTGAGATGGAGTCTTGGTCTGTCGCCCAGGCTGTAGTGCAGTGGCACGATCTCGGCTCACTGCAACCTCCGCCTCCTGGATTCAAGAGATTCTTCTGCCTCAGACTCCCTAGTACCTGGGACCACAGGCGCATACCACCATGCCCGGCTAATTTTTGTATTTTTAGTAGAGACGGGGTTTCACCACATTGGCCAGGCTGGCCTGGAAATCCAGACCTCATGATACGCCTGCTTCGGCCTCCCAAAGTGCTGGGATTACAGGCGTAAACCACTGTGCCCGGCCACTCTGCTTTATTTTCACACATATTTATTTTTCTGTTTGGTGTCTTTCTCCCTTTGAGAGAATGTAAGCTCTAGAAAAACCAGGGAGCAACTTGGATGTGCTGTCTGCTACCCTTCCAGGTCTTAGAAATGGGTCTAGCACCAATAAATATTTTCTGAATGAATAATTACATTCATTTTCTTACTCTTCATTTAACATTTGAGTACCTAATAAAAATAATAATGGTTTTTGAATACTCAGTATGTGCTAGATACCATGCCAAGTGCTTTACATGAACCATTTAATCCTCACAAAAGCCTTTTGAAGTGAGTTGTTGAATCTTCTCTTCCCAGACAGAATGTGAGTCTGGGGGAAATTTTTAAATGTTCCCAAGTAAACATGACTATTAAGTAGCAAAGGTAAGAATTAAACCTAGACATCCTAACTACAGATCTCAAGTTCTTCCACTCTAAGTTATACTGGCATTGCATCAGGTTCAAAAGATAAACTCATTTAAAAAAACAAACCACCAACAACAACAACAAAAGAAACTTTTCTCTGCCCTTAGGCAGTCTGCAGCCTAAGCCAGAAAGAGAAAAGCAGCATATAAAGTTAACACAGGGGCATTTTGGGACCTTCTCAGGGGATCGTCTGAATCATAAAGAATAAGAAGAATTTAGCCATGCTAAGAAATATAGAAAAGGTTGGGAACTACACCCTGAAATGGGAACTACTTATATAATTCCAGAGTTATGGAAAAACCTGGCTCAATTATGGAATTTATTTTGGCTGTTTGCCTAAGAGATGGGAAAACAAAATTGAAGCATTTGGCTTTTTAGCCCTAAGTTTGAGATGCATTCAGAATAGGCGGCTTCAAAAATGTTAAGAAATTAAAAATAAACAACTCAGAAGAAATGAAAAAGAAAATATCAGAGGCTATGGGAAGTCTTCTGTTGAGTGCAATCAAGCAAATGATCACTTTTCAAAGGACAAGGAGTGGATAGGCCTCCCTCCTAAACTGAGGAATATTGCTGAAAAGTTAATGTGAAGACTTGATGGCAAAATTCCCTGGCATTTTCAGAGCTCACTCACCATAATGCACAAACATGAAGGGACATAGCCTAGGTCTTTGATTTCCCTAGCTCTGCTGTGTTGCCATCACAGCAATTAGGGAAACATTCCAAGATACTTCTGGGGTCAAAGAACATGAAGGCTGGAAACGACTTCAGGAAATGTCTAAGAGATTAGAGTCAGAAAGAACTAGGTTGGAATACTACCTCAGGTCTTTCCTAACATTGAAATTGTATATAGCTTACAATTATCTCAGATTTATCTAAAATAAAAAGAGAAAGAAGGATATCAACTTTATAGGATTGTTGTGAGAACTAAGTGAATTAATGTAGGTCAAGGGATATAACAACATCAAAGTCAATCAATAGATATTAGCTATTATTTTATTATTATTATCCACCCCAAACCATTATTTTTCCATTGATAAGGAAACTGACATACCAGAAAATGACTTGACTAAGCTCACACACGGATCTCACAAGTTACCCAATCCATCAGCATTCCTCTAGGGCTCTCCCTACCTGTCCACGTCAGGTAATATGTTTAAGTTCCATTAAAGATCTGATAACTGGCCTAAAAGTTCTATCTTATTTTAAGCCTCTGTTTACCATCCCCACAAAATCATGGACCTGCTTTACCTTCAACAAAATTTATAGAGATCACTTCAAATATGGGATCGAAGTTGTAGTTGGCAATACTAGGAATAACTCTAAAGTAACAAAGCCTGTGTTTCATAAGGTGGTTTTGACAACATCATTTTCCCAGAAAACCATCCCAAACAAGACTGGGCTAAATGGCTCTTCTCTGTACTGCGGGACAGATGCTTACCTCTATCTTAGTATTTATTCTTCTATCTACTGGAATTATCCATTTGGTGGCCCTTTTTATAATTTAAAAATAGAAACTAAGTCCTAGCCATCTGTGTATCTCCTGTTCATAGCACAATGTCTAATATACAGTAGATGATCTCTAAAATTTTATATAATTGAATATTTATTTTATTACAATTAATATGAGCTCCATACAGAAGGCCATTATACCATGTTTTAATAGTATCAGTATAATTATGACTGTGTAGATTTAGATATTCAAAATGATCATTTTAACCAACATGCTTTTAGGTATATAATATTTTCAGTTTTAGTTAAAAATTCACATAGATTCTTTGCTTTTGTATCTGTTAAAATAGTCATCCACTTTACATATCTATATGTAAGCAGTGGTGTGTTTCAATTTGTCACACTGACTTTCAAGAGTTGTGTCCATCTCTTCCCAAATCTATGTTCAGTGATTTCACATTTGTGGTTTGAAACTGGTCATGATAGGAGTGCTTGTGCCATGCAAATCAACTAATGTTAGAAAGCAGAGATTTTTTTCTTCCTCAGAAACCAGGTTGTTATACATTTACCAGTGCATCACTATACATATAGTTTTTAATACTATCCACTCTAGTCTGTGTAGTTCTGCATTTATGGTTTTTATCAATCTAAGGTAGAAGCTACATCTAATTTTCTGTCTCTGCTTCATTTTTTATGCCACCTGGGTACCCATAAATAATTACAAGCAGAGTTGTTTATATATTTAGCAGACACTCATGAAATAAATAATTAATATGAGACAGTCTCCATATCTAACTAGTTATTCCTAATATATCTTTTAAAGTCTTCTTACATTTTATTAAATGAAGTTGGGAGGATCAACTTTGTGAGTGAATCAAACTCAAATTTCGGGGGACTGGACAAAAATATATTGTGGAACTAGAAAACAATGTCTTACCAAAATTGCATATAAATTTAATCAGCTGACAAAACTTTTGCCCTGCCTTATTTATGCAAAGAAATGTGGAAATAAGGCAGTCATTCAGACTTTTCTTAAAAGATGTAAGGCTGAGATTGTTTTATACACATAAATGAGGTGTGGGCTTATTCCCACTTCAGATTTTTTTTGCAGGATAATACAAGATTATTTCAGACCATTCTAGTATTATAAATAATTGGTTCCAGCCCCTAAATGGAGCTTAAATTTCAATCTGTAGGTTATTATTATAGTAATCTTTCGTGGTAAATCAGTCCATTTCCTCTGTAGTTACTTAAGGGTGGAAATATTCAAGAACATGGATATATTTTAAAATTACTGTTCTCAGTTCTTTCCCTTATAAATAATTAGTAAGTCTACTAATTATTTTCTTCCAAAATTTTCCACTTCCTAATTATCCACTATTTTTTTCTTCCAAATATAGTAAATGGGCAAGAAATAAGTTTTATTTTTAAATGGTTATATTACTCTCCTATCTCAGGGTATATGAGATAAAATTTAACAGAGATTGATGGACATCTAAATTTTAGCCAGCTTATTTACTGATGAGACTTTTCCCTATACCCTCTGCTTGACGGAATGTTCATGTTGCTCAAGATGAAATAACCTAAGACAGCAATAAATTATTTTGGCAGATATTCTGAAAGAAAGCTCCTGGGAAACTGCTGTAGATGTCATTCGGATTTTTAAAATCTAAGTTTGTAGGCTAGTCAAAAAAATCTAAAGATCACAGTCGGAAACCTAGGAAACTGACAAGTAACAATAATGAGAATGTACACAAACACATACAAAAAGCAAAATACGTATATGCCTTTGATACGTTTGAATACCACCTAAACTCTGACCCACTAAGAGAAATTCCGGTATAAAGGGCATTTTTGGTAAGCTTTAGTCATGTTCATCCATCCATTTTTCCATTTAGTCCTTTACTTGATAAGTAAATTATTAATTAGTAAACAAAGTTAGGTATTAATCTAAAAATTACTGCAACAGTTTCTAATATCAAAATAGTAGCAAGCCAGATAGACAAATGGATATATAGTTCAAATATAATGTAACGAGTGGAAAGAAAAATACATCATGTTTTGTGTGAACACCAAAGAGACATAAATACCTGGGAGAAAAGGGAAAGTTTTATACACACATACACACAAACCTGTGTGTTTATGTGTGTGTGTGTGTGTGTGTGTGTGTGTATATATGACTTATATGACTGGATAACAGGGTGCCCATATATATATTTGAGCACCTGTGATACAGCAGCTGCTATACTAGTTGGTTTTCCATAGTTTATTTCTTAGTCCATTTATTTTAATCTTTCAATTAATGCTACAGACAGTCAGTATTATTTGCATTTTACATATAACGAAACTGAAGTTTTGGGAAATTAAGCAAACTGGTGTTTTGGTTGAATTATGTTCCTGCCTCCAAAAAAGAGATGTGAAAGTCCAAATGCCCATTACTACAGAATGTGACCTTATTTTTAATAGGGCCTCTACAGAGTCAATTGAGTTAAACATATTTTGAGTTAAAGATTATTATTAATTATTATTATTAATCGAGTTAAACATTACTAGTGTGAGCCCTTATTCAGTATAACTGGTTTCCTTACAAAAGAGGGAAATTTGGATACAGAGACAGACATGCACAGAGAGAAGGCCATGTGAAGATGGAGGATTGGAGTGATGCATCCATAGGCCGAGGAACACCAAAGATTGCTGTCAAACCCTCAGAAGCTGGAAAGAGGCAAGGAAGAATTTCCCTACAAGTTTTAGAGGGAGCATGGTCCTGCAGTTTGTTCTTCTAGCCTCCAGAACTGTGAGACAGTATTTCTGTTGTTTTAAGGGACCTGTTTTATTGTATTTTGTTATAGCGCCCAAGAAAACAAAGTTGGTCAAACATGGGGCTAGTAAGTAGTGATGCACAATCATCCTTTTCTGGTTCCAAAGCTTACATGTTTTCTCCTTTACAAAGAAAATTATCTGGGGAGGAGGGAAGATGGCTGAATAGGAACAGCTCCAGTCTACAGCTCCCAGCGTGAGAGATGCAGAAGATGGGTGATTTCTGCATTTCCATCTGAGGTACCGGGTTCATCTCACTAGGGAGTGCCAGACAGTGGGCGCAGGTCAGTGGGTGCGCGCACCATGCGCGAGCTGAAGCAGGGCGAGGCATTGCCTCACTTGGGAAGCGCAAGGGGTCAGGGAGTTCCCTTTCCAAGTCAAAGAAAGGGGTGACGGACGCACCCGGAAAATCGGGTCACTCCCACCCGAATACTGCGCTTTTCGGACCGGCTTAAAAAATGGCGCACCACGAGATTATATCCTGCACCTGGCTCAGAGGGTCCTACGCCCACAGAGTCTCGCTGATTGCTAGCACAGCAGTCTGAGATCAAACTGCAAGGCGGCAGCGAGGCTGGGGGAGGGGCGCCCACCATTGCCCAGGATTGCTTAGGTAAACAAAGCAGCCGGGAAGCTCAAACTGGGTGGAACCCACCACAGCTCAAGGAGGCCTGCCTGCCTCTGTAGGCTCCACCTCTGGGGGCAGGGCACAGACAAACAAAAAGACAGCAGTAGTAATCTCTGCAGACTTAAATGTCCCTGTCTGACAGCTTTGAAGACAGCAGTGGTTCTCCCAGCACGCAGCTGGAGATCTGAGAACGGGCAGACTGCCTCCTCAAGTGGGTCCCTGACCCCTGACCCCCGAGCAGCCTAACTGGGAGGCACTCCCCAGCAGGGGCACACTGACACCTCACATGGCAGGGTATTCCAACAGATCTGCAGCTGAGGGTCCTGTCTGTTAGAAGGAAAACTAACAAACAGAAAGGACATCTACACCAAAAACCCATCTGTACATAATCATCATCAAAGACCAAAAGTAGATAAAACCACAAAGATGGGGAGAAAACAGAACAGAAAAACTGGAAACTCTAAAACGCAGAGCACCTCTCCTCCTCCAAAGGAACGCAGTTCCTCACCAGCAATGGAACAAAGCTGGACAGAGAATGACTTTGAGGAGCTGAGAGAAGAAGGCTTCAGATGATCAAATTACTCTGAGCTATGGGAGAACATTCAAACCAAAGGCAAAGAAGTTGAAAACTTTGAAAAAAATTTAGAAGAATGTATAACTAGAATAACCAATACAGAGAAGTGCTTAAAGGAGCTGATGCAGCTGAAAACCAAGGCTCGAGAACTACGTGAAGAATGCAAAAGCCTCAGGAACTGATGCGATCAACTGGAAGAAAGGGTGTCAGCAATGGAAGATGAAATGAATGAAATGAAGCAAGAAGGGAAGTTTAGAGAAAAAAGAATAAAAAGAAATGATCAAAGCCTCCAAGAAATATAAGACTATGTGAAAAGACCAAATCTATGTCTGATTGGTGTACCTGAAAGTGACGGGGAGAATGGAACCAAGTTGGAAAACACTCTGCAGGATATTATCCAGGAGAACTTCCCCAATCTAGCAAGGCAGGCCGACGTTCAGATTCAGGAAATACAGAGAATGCCACAAAGATACTCCTCGAGAAGAGCAACTCCAAGACACATAATTGTCAGATTCACCAAAGTTGAAATGAAGGAAAAAATGTTAAGGGCAGCCAGAGAGAAAGGTCGGGTTACCCTCAAAGGGAAGCCCATCAGACTAACAGCGGATCTCTCAGCAGAAACCCTACAAGCCAGAAGAGAGTGGGGGCCAATATTTAACATTCTTAAAGAAAAGAATTTTCAACCCAGAATTTCATATCCAGCCAAACTAAGCTTCATAAGTGAAGGAGAAATAAAATACTTTACAGACAAGCAAATGCTGAGAGATTTTGTCACCACCAGGCCTGCCCTAAAAGAGCTCCTGAAGGAAGCGCTAAACATGGAAAGGAACAACCGGTACCAGCCGCTGCAACATCATGCCAAAATGTAAAGACCATTGAGACTAGGAAGAAACTGCATCAACTAACGAGCAAAATCACCAGCTAACATCATAATGACAGGATCAAATTCACACATAACAATATTAACTTTAAATGTAAATGGACTAAATGCTCCAATTAAAAGACACACACTGGCAAATTGGATAAAGAGTCAAGACCCATCAGTGTGCTGTATTCAGGAAACCCATCTCATGTGCAGAGACACACATAGGCTCAAAATAAAAGGATGGAGGAAGATCTACCAAGCAAATGGAAAACAAAAAAAGGCAGGGGTTGCAATCCTAGTCTCTGATAAAACAGACTTTAAACCAACACAGATCAAAAGAGACAAAGAAGGCCATTACATAATGGTAAAGGGATCAATTCAACAAGAAGAGCTAACTATCCTAAATGTATATGCACCCAATACGGGAGCACCCAGATTCATAAAGCAAGTCCTGAGTGACGTACAAAGAGACTTAGACTCCCACACATTAATAGTGGGAGACTTTAACACCCCACTGTCAACATTAGACAGATCAACGAGACAGAAAGTCAACAAGGATACCCAGGAATTGAACTCAGCTCTGCATCAAGCGGACCTAATAGACATCTACAGAACTCTCCACCCCAAATCAACAGAATATACATTTTTTTCAGCACCACACCACACCTATTCCAAAATTGACCACATACTGGGAAGTAAAGCTCTCCTCAGCAAATGTAAAAGAACAGAAATTATAACAAACTATCTCTCAGACCACAGTGCAATCAAACTAGAACTCAGGATTAAGAATCTCACTCAAAACCGCTCAACTACATGGAAACTGAACAACCTGCTCCTGAATGACTACTGGCTACATAACGAAATGAAGGCAGAAATAAAGATGTTCTTTGAAACCAACGAGAACAAAGACACAACATACCAGAATCTCTGGGACGCATTCAAAGCAGTGTGTAGAGGGAAATTTATAGCACTAAATGCCCACAAGAGACAGCAGGAAAGATCTAAAATTGACTCCCTAACATCACAATTAAAAGAACTAGAAAAGCAAGAGCAAACACATTCAAAAGCTAGCAGAAGGCAAGAAATAACTAAAATCAGAGCAGAACTGAAGGAAATAGAGACACAAAAAACCCTTCAAAAAAGTAATGAATCCAGGAGCTGGTTTTTTGAAAGGATCAACAAAATTGATAGACCGCTAGCAAGACTAATAAAGAAAAAAAGAGAGAAGAATCAAATAGACGCAATAAAAAACGATAAAGGGGATATCACCACCGATCCCACAGAAATACAAACTACCATCAGACAGTACTACAAACACCTCTACGCAAATAAACTAGAAAATCTAGAAGAAATGGATAAATTCCTCGACACATAAACCCTCCCAAGACTAAACCAGGAAGAAGTTGAATCTCTGAATAGACCTGAATTTCAGGATCTGAAATTGTGGCAATAATCAATAGTTTACCAACCAAAAAGAGTCCAGGACCAGATGGATTCACAGCCGAATTCTACCAGAGGTACAAGGAGGAACTGGTACCATTCCTTCTGAAACTATTCCAATCAATAGAAAAAGAAGGAATCCTCCCTAACTCATTTTATGAGGCCAGCATCATTCTGATACCAAAGCCGGGCAGAGACACAACCAGAAAAGAGAATTTTAGACCAATATCCTTGATGAACATTGATGCAAAAATCCTCAATAAAATACTGGCAAAACAAATCCAGCAGCACATCAAAAAGCTTATCCACCATGATCAAGTGGGCTTCATCCCTGGGATGCAAGGCTGGTTCAATGTATGTGAATCAATAAATGTAATCCAGCATATAAACAGAGCCAAAGACAAAAACCACATGATAATCTCAATAGATGCAGAAAAAGCCTTTGACAAAATTCAACAACCCTTCATGCTAAAAACTCTCAATAGATTAGGTATTGATGGGACGTATTTCAAAATAATAAGAGCTATCTATGACAAACCCACAGCCAATATCATAGTGAATGGGCAAAAACTGGAAGCATTCCCTTTGAAAACTGGCACAAGACAGGGATGCCCTCTCTCACCACTCCTATTCAACATAGTGTTGGAAGTTCTGGCCAGGGCAATTAGGCAGGAGAAGGAAATAAAAGGTATTCAATTAGGAAAAGAGGAAATCAAATTGTCCCTGTTTGCAGACGACATGATTGTGTATCTAGAAAACCCCATTGTCTCAGCCCAAAATCTCCTTAAGCTGATAGGCAACTTTATCAAAGTCTCAGGATACAAAATCAATGTACCAAAATCACAAGCATTCTTATACACCAACAACAGACAAACAGAGAGCCAAATCATGAGTGAGCTCCCATTCACAATTGCTTCAAAGAGAATAAAATACCTAGGAATCCAACTTACAAGGGATGTGAAGGACCTCTTCAAGGAGAACTACAAACCACTGCTCAAGGAAATAAAAGAGGATACAAACAAATGGAAGAGCATTCCACGCTCATGGGTAGGAAGAATCAATATCGTGAAAATGGCCATACTGCCCAAGGTAATTTACAGATTCAATGCCATCCCCATCAAGCTACCACTGCCTTTCTTCACAGAATTGGAAAAAACTACTTTAAAGTTCATATGGAACCCAAAAAGAGCCCACATCACCAAGTCAATCCTAAGCCAAAAGAACAAAGCTGGAGGCATCACACTACCTGACTTCAAAGTATACTACAAGGCTACAGTAACCAAAACAGCATGGTATTGATACCAAAACAGAGATATAGATCAATGGAACAGAATAGAGCCCTCAGAAATAATGCCACATATCTACAACTATCTGATCTTTGACAAAACTGAGAAAAACGAGCAATGGGGAAAGGATTCCCTATTTAATAAATGGTGCTGGGAAAAGTGGCTAGCCATATGTAGAAAGCTGAAACTGGATCCCTTCCTTACACCTTATACAAAAATCAATTCAAGATGGATTAAAGACTTAAACGTTCAACCTAAAACCATAATAACCCTAGAAGAAAACCTAGGCATTACCATTCAGGACATAGGCATGGGCAAGGACTTCATGTCTAAAACACCAAAAGCAATGGCAACCAAAGCCAAAATTGACAAATGGGATCTAATTAAACTAAAGAGCTTCTGCACAGCAAAAGAAACTACTATCAGAGTGAACAGGCAACCTACAACATGGGAGAAAATTTTCGCAACCTACTCATCTGACAAAGGGCTAATATCCAGAATCTACAATGAACTCAAACAAATTTACAAGAAGAAAACAAACAACCCTGTCAAAAAGTGGGCGAAGGACATGAACAGACACTTCTCAAAAGAAGACATTTATGCAGCCAAAAAACACATGAAAAAATGCTCATCATCACTGGCCATCAGACAAATGCAAATCCAAACCACAATGAGATACCATCTCACACCAGTTAGAATGGCAATCATTAGAAAGTCAGGAAACAACAGGTGCTGGAGAGGATGTGGAGAAATAGGAACACTTTTACACTGTTGGTGGGACTGTAAACTAGTTCAACCATTGTGGAAGTCAGTGTGGCGATTCCTCAGGGATCTAGAACTAGAAATACCATTTGACCCAGCCATCCCATTACTGGGTATATACCCAAAGGACTATAAATCATGCTGCTATAAAGACACATGCACATGTATGTTTATTGCGGCATTGTTCACAATAGCAAAGACTTGGAACCAACCCGAATGTCCAACAATGATAGACTGGATTAAGAAAATGTGGCCCATATACACCATGGCATACTATGCAGCCCCAAAAAATGATGAGTTCATGTCCTTTGTAGGGACATGGATGAAATTGGAAATCATCATTCTCAGTAAACTATCGCAAGAACAAAAAATCAAACACCGCATATTCTCACTCATAGGTGGGAACTGATCAATGAGATCACATGGACACAGGAAGGGGAATATCACACTCTGGAGACTGTGGTGGGGTGGGGCGAGGGGGGAGGGATAGCATTGGGAGATATACCTAATGCTAGATGACGAGTTAGTGGGTGCAGCGCACCAGCATGGCACATGTATACGTATGTAACGAACCGGCACAATGTGCACATGTACCCTAAAACTTAAAGTATAATAAAAAAAAAAAGAAAAAAGAAAATTATATTCACCCAAACCTTTTAAGGATGAATTAAAGCTTATAAGGTGGAAGGGAAAGGAAAGTGCCTCCTTTTATTGGAAAACTTTGTGAGTTCAGGCTAATTCTAAAGGCCCTCAACCTTAGCAGTATTGAGAGTTTGAACTGAATATATATATTTTTTCAGGTGGTCTTTCCTATGCATTGTAGAATGTTTGACATCATCTCTGACCTCTACCTACTAGATGTCAGCAGCACCTCTTTCAGCTAAGAGAGTATAAAATGTCTCCAATTACCAAATGTCCCTCAGGAGGCAAAAATGATCCTGCAGAGAACGACTACCATCAGTAACTTGCTGATGTTCACCCAGCAACAGTATTGCAAGCAAATTTATTTCATGCATCTTACCTGATTAAGAGTAGTTGCCCAAAATATGGCATTAAGAAGGAATAATAGACTTTTTGCAGATTAAAGAAAAAATGTTTCATTATGAATTTTTTGTGTCTGCTGTGGGACCAGGAGGGGAAATATTGGGCTGTCCTTTATAAATTCTGACTTCTAGCTAGTAGTGCTAGACAGAAGAAAAGGGATGAACCCTATGAATATTTGTATCAAAATTTTAAGTTTGGTAAATGTCAGTTTATCCAACTGCATATTTTTTCTTGCCTGTTAAGAGTTTCAGAGGAGTTTGAATTTCCTTTTGCAGTTCCTCAACTTTTTCTTTTTTAGAAGGTTGATTTCTTCCAGACATACAGTTATTATTAAGGAATAATTTTTTAGGTTTAGCCATCCATGATTGAACTGATGTTTCATCCTGTGTTTCAGAACACTAGTTGGGCAGTTCACTGGATTAGGGTATTTTGTCCTGGAGTTCAGGGTCTGGGATGTTGCCCTTAAAAGGATCTGCAAGCTCAGACATTTAACAAATTTTGCACTTTATGATGGTTAATTTTATGTGTCAACTTGACTGGATTGCAGGGTGCTCAGATATTTGGCTGAATATTGTTTTTGGTTATATCTCTGAGGATGTTTCTGGAGATTAGTATTTGAATCAGTAGTCTAAGAAAAGCAGACTGACCTTCACAATGTATGTGGCCATCATCTAATCTTTTATGATGCCCAATAGAACAAAAGATAGGAAGGGAGGATTCACTCTCTCTGTTTGATTTGGGACACCATTCTTTCCCTGTTCTCAGACTAGGACTCACACCATTGGCCTTCTGGTCCTCGGAACTGCACCACTGGTCTTCTTCAGTCTCAAGCTTGCTTGAGATTTTGCTTCCATAGTATGGGATTTTTTTGCTTCCATAATTGTGTAAGCAAATGCCTTACAATAAATAAACCTCTCTATATTAATAGATAGACAGATAGATAGATAATAGATTCTCCTATTGCTTCTGTTTCTCTGTTGAACCCTAAAATACTCTCATTTCCCACTCTGCCCCATCTTGACTCTTGTTGTTGATACTTGCTATTGTTTTATTTCCTCCTCTTTTTCCTATCCCTTTCTACATATCTTCCTTTGGAAATCTTTGTTGTTTTCTTCTTGTTTATGATATGATGCCTTTCCCTTTCGGAATGTTCAGGAAAGTTTGAAATGCTTCTCTGATAATTGCCTTATTTATGTATGTCAGTGATTAGATGCAGAAGTGTTGGAAACAGGCAAGCTTAGATTTGAGCCTTGGCCTACCCTCTACTAGATGTAGTTACCTCATCAAATTCATTAGATTCATCTATGAAATGGAGTAGTTATTGTGTAAGTGATATATTTGTTGCAAAACTTTCAATACATATTACCTTCTCTCTAATAGGCAGTTAATAATACAATTTGAAATGCCTTGTCCATTTCTTTGCCTGGAGAACCTCCTTCAAAATTCTAATTTTATCCTAATGTTACTTTTCTCAATTCTAGTGCTGTTTCTTCTAAAATATTATAAAAACTAATCTTTTTTACTAGTAAACATATGTTTTTAAACTTCTACATCACAAGCACCTAACATAGTGACTAACACTTAGAAGATGCAATAAATATTTGTTGAATTGCATTTGATCACACAGACCTTAATTCTATAATAGATGTAAGAGGCATAGTATTGCACAGTGTATGCCAATAAGCAGCAAATATTTTCATAGAAAAACCAATTTAAAATAGTTCACATATTGACATTATTGTTTAAAAATAGCATAGATGTTAAGAAGCCAAGTGATAATTATATGGTGGATTTGTTTTTTTCCATTTTTGCCTTTACAAATAATCAGATTAGCTTGTGGGAAAAAATAATGAATACCAATAGTAATAAATTCTTCAGAGTTTATAAATATTTTCACAATCCAATTATGATAGTTAATACTCATTGTTGATTGTGCAAAATTTTTACTATATTATTCAATTATAATGGTTTAAGATATGATTATGGTTATTGTTCCCTCTTTACAGTTAAAGAGACAGCTTAAGGTTTAGTGATGCACTTGAAGTCACAAAGCTACAAGTTGAGGTTAAAAATTCCAACCTGTCTACTGCCAAACTTATGTTCATCATTCTTTATAGCCTAACTAGTATGTAGGGTTACCTCCATTTTACTGATGAGGAAACTATTTCAAAAAGATTGTAATTATTTAATTATGTGTTACAAATCACTTTCCCCCATCCAAAACAATTGAATTCTACAATGAAAAATCAACTCATTCTTTTTTTAATTAATTTACTTTTTTAGTTATTTTCTTAATTGTTTCAATAGGGCTTACAATATATATCTCAATTTATCAGTCTGCTTCAAATTTACACTAACTTAATTCCAGTAATAGGTATATTTTAATCCAGAGTTATCACTGTTGTCTACTCTCTTAGTTCAGGCTACTATAACAAAAATAGCGCCAGGTGGCTTCAAAAACAGAAATTATTTTTTCTCACAGGCTGGAGGCTGGGAAGTCCAAGGTCAAGGTGGCAACAAATCTGTTGTTTGGAAAGGCTTCACTTCCTGGTTTGTTGATGACAATCTTCACATTGTAGTCTCATGTGGGGGAGAGCAGAGAGAGAAAAAAAATGTGTTCTTTCATTTCTCTTTTTATGAGGGTACTAATTCATTCACAAGGATTATGTCTTCATTACCTAATATTGTCCCCAAATCCCCATTTCTTAATACTCTCACTTTGGGGTTAGGATTTTAACATATGATTTTTTGAGGGGAACACAAACAGGAATAGGAACAAACAAGCAGTAAAGATAAAACCGATTCTGCCATTAAGTTCCAAGTTCAAGCACACAGCCAGAAAAAAGTTCTGAAATTCTGAAGGTTAGTGCCTGGGAGGCACTAGAACACAGGTTAGAAAATTGCAGCGGTGGGACCAAAGAGAAAGTACCTTAGTGCCATAGATGGAACTCAAGATGAAGCAGCTACATTGTCTGTGGTATAAACCTGGTGTTCGTTGTCACCCGCCAGGAAAACTTAGGACACGGACAAACACAAGGAGTACAGGAGCTGAGGTTTAATAGGCAGAAGAGAAGAGAAAGATAAACAGCTTTCTTTATAGGGAAAGGGGTTTCTGAGCAGAAAGGACTGGCTGACAGCAAATGTGCCAAATTTTGTAGTCCAGTTTGAGGTGGCGGTGTCTGATTTACACAGGGCTTATAGATTGGTTCGATCATGTATGATGTTTACATAATGCACAGGGAAGTCTGGTCTCCCAACCCTAATGTTATTATGCGAATGGGCTGTCCAGTTGATCAGCACCATCTTGTCTACTCCTTACAGTGCACATAGCTAACAGAGAAGAGAAGATGGAGCCACCATCTTGAAAATGTCTAGTGCTTAGTTTCTGCTGGCATTCACCCACACAAACTCCCAGCTTGCTTGTCTATGTCTGCAGGTCAACTTTCCAGGCTACTGTTTGTTAGTAAATGATTTGGGGCTGTGTTTCATTAAAAAGAAAAGCATTACCAAAGACTGTTATACCCCTTGCTATCTGCCTAAGTGATTTCTTCTTAACTCCTCTATCATTCCCCTCTCTGGAGTGGTAACCCTAACTGCTGTTAAGGGGTGTTTGATGATGACTCTTTCTGGCTACTTCCTGCTGAAAAGGGGCATCATGTGGGGCACAGCAGCTAGGGCTCCTCTTGGGTCGATCTAAGGGTTCCTGGAAGAAAGATACATCCATCTGTGGTTCAGTCTAAAACTCCATTTGGAGTTTGATTGCTGTCAGTCATTCCAATGGGTCATGATACTGGTTTTCCTCCACCAGATGCTGCTGAAATATTAATATACAAGTAAGATTCTTTTTTGAATAAGTGGTATTAGATTTGGGTAGCTAGAGTAACTTTAGTGTTAACCTTGGCTAAATCTTTCCTGTAATTATTAATTCCCTCATTACTTCAACAGACCATCTAAGACGTGCTTAAACTTGTCCTAACATCCTTCTTTTTAAACGACCAACTATTCTTTTTAGGACAGGTATTTACCATCCTTGTAATCTTTTCATGACTTCCACAACCATCTATAACATGCTCAAACCTTCTGACTTCTCCTAAACATCCCTCTTTTAAACAACCAACTGTTCTCTTTAGGAGAAGTATTTATCATACAAGATCCTTTCTTAGGTAAAATATTTTTCCTTTATAACCTTTGTATATAGCCAGGATGTGACATTACCAAACCCAATAAGAAGTTCTAGAAGATTCAGTGATAGTAAAACTTTCATACTTCTTTTTCTTTTTTTTTTTTTTTGGTAACTGTTATCCATCCTGTAAGGATAATAATTAAGCAAAATACCATAGCAATGGAAACTCTCTGTCTGATATTCCAGTTAGAAGGTGCAACTGTGTATAGCCCTACTGCGAGTAGTAGAGGGAGTATAGCAATTTTTGCAAGTGTGGTGTAGTAGATAATTTTCATCTTAAAATTGTACCTGCCAAGATATAGAATTTCCCTTTGGGGGATCTGTGAAGTTTCTTGGCTTTATTTTCCCAAACAAATAAACCTCTGGGTTATGGGCACCCTACTCACTTTCATTACCTGGCAGAATTTGCTGAATAATTGCCCAGAACTAGCATATTTATCCAGATTTTCACATTACCCATCTCTTTTTGTTTCTTCCAAGCTGCAGGAGATCACCACTTGATTCACAGAAATAAGCAGGGTTAGTCTAAAATGTAGGTAAAAAGCTTAAAAACAATTATTGTGACTAGGATTTAATGACAAATGTATGATAAGCTTTGGAGCACAATTTCTCTCTCCAGTCCTCATTTTTGGTAAAAACAAATTATGATAGGACTGTGTTGTTTGTAGAATAAACTTTAGCCTTATACTTGGCACGAATATTTGCATAAAGTGCAGCAAGAATAATTTTCCCTACATAGGCCTTTTGGGTTGGCTTTGATGGAACTCTGTTCCCTAAGGAATCTCAGATAAGACCTCTTCAAGCCGAGTTCAGCAATGGGTTTTTATCCCCAAATACTTTACACTTAAGGTCCCAAGATAAACTTGGAGGTCCTGGACATGTTAGAAAGTGACATTCTTTACTGACCACAGGTTAAGAAACCTGTCCAGGGACTGTGTAGACAAGGTATGAGGCCAGTCTTCCCCAAGGTGCTTTTATCAGCTCTGCAAGCTGAGATTCACTCTTTAAAGGGGGAAGCATACACTTCTTGTCAAAGCTTTGATGAAATAACCAGTTTTTCTAATTGTGTCTTATTGAAAAAAAAAAAGACTTTTTGTGGCACTGATGCAAACAACTATATTGCCATAAGTTAAGATTACTCACAGATAGTTTCCAAATTCTAGAGGAACCAGGTACAGGGAAACAAACCTGCTCTGAATTTTGTTCACAAGAGTATAACTTACTCAATTATTAAAGGCTGTACATAATTCAAAATAAATTTCCTTGACTCTGAAAAACAAAATAAGGATCAGCAATATCCTAAGCAAAAGTCAAAAAGATTGCTTTAGCTTTCTGAGTACAGTCCATTTAAGTCAACTCTTGTTTCACTTGATATTCATAAACACGTCAGTTCTTCATGAGTCCTGTACATTTTTTGTAATGTTACAATCTTCAAAGCTATTGGAAATCTGCATTTGAGAACAGCTGTTAAAGTCTTATAGCTTGATTATGTCCCATCTTTTGAGAAGGAACACAACAAGATAAAAATTGTCTGTAAGTGACAAAATTTTCAGGGTAGTTACAGTTAAAAACATGACTGGCAAAGTTTAGTTATCTCCATGGTTTACAATAATTTTAAAATTAATTATGATTGATAGCATATACTTAGACATTAGAATTTTAGAAATCCCATACAATTTTGGAACATATATTGGTATTATTCACAAAAATATAAGTTAAGATTGGACATCATTTTGGCAATCCCAATGTGATTAAACATGTCAAATAATCCTGTTCACCTATTTTCTGAATGTTTCAGGGGCACCCTGAACTATCTAGAAAGCCCGGCATCAGGAAAGACAATTTTGAAACTTGAAGTTTGATTTTGGGATGTCTGTTAAATGTTAGAGGTTTAAAACAGTTGATATTAAGAAATAGAATTCCAGATAGTCATACATTACTTATTTTGCCAAAATGATGACTCAAAAGGCAAAAACCTTTCATTAGCCTTTACTATTACATAAAAATCCTGCTCAAAGCCAAATTTTACCTTTGCACTAATTTATTAATGTTAACCCCAATTTGATTAAATGCCACCCTAAAGACAGTTCCATCTAATCTTAACCAATTTGACCATGAGATGAAGTCCTTACAAACCTTTTATAACCCATTTTGCTAAAGGGAAGATTAGTGTCTTGAGACAGCCTTGCGATGCTTTTATTTCAATGCTCAATTTATGAAAAGACCATCTTTCCACAACATGCTTAAACCTATAGCTTTATCTTATCAAATTTAAGATAATTCCTCATCCCTGGGCAATATTTACATTTCTATAGTTTCTTATAATCCTTTACTAAAAAACACATTTTACTGTTTTTATACACCTTGCCTTTAAAACTGTTCAGTGATCTTAAATACATGCTGCACTGTTAACTCTTAGCAACTTTTACATTTGGTGAGAAACCTGGTTAGTAAGCAATTCTAGTTATGTACCAGGCGTGGAGCCTAGGACCCAGACAGAAATGCAGATAAGATCTGACTCTTTCCAGCATCTAACTCCATGTGTCCCAGGCCTTACTTATCTGTAAATCATGCAGTATGCAGCCTTTGAACATTTAGCAAACCTAGTATCTGTTTTACGATTTAGACCACCTATTTGGATTTTGATGACCCTTGCATTTTACCAATAATCCTTAAGATTATTTTTATTTCTTAAAAATTAAAGTCACATGAACTAAAACATATTTGATTTAAGCACTATTTTTTAAGCCAATTAATTAGAGCTTTTATTATAGACATTAAACACAACACATATATAGTGACATAAACAGAAGATTCAGCACTTGTAAGAGTTTTCATTTGTCAGTTTCTTAATTGGATTACTGGCTTCAGGGTGGAGCCTTTGGTGGAACTGGGCCAGGCAGCATTCATTTTTAGGGCCTAATAAGTAGGCACAGCTGAAGGCAAAGGCAGATCCCTAAAATTAAATGTGCCATTTTATACTAGATTTTTGATCCCCTAAAGGAGGGAGATACTATGGGAGAAAATAGTGCATTGCTTCTACCATGTATTTCATTGCAAGGCAACCCAAAGCTAATCAGCTTTATCCCCCATGGGAGTATCATCTCTCAGTCAGGGGTGGGGATGTTTCCATATCTTTCAGGCGGCCAAGAGCATGCTTCTCTGATTTATAACTACTATTTGCCATCCCTTAAAGTGTATTTCCTACCTCCTTATTACACATCAAAGCTCTCTCCTAATGTGAAGTATTTTGATACACCCAAAACTCAAAATAATCAGAACACACAAAGCAAAACTGAAAAGAGCCTTTAATTTTGAGAGGGCACTATCTGCTCTTAGTTCCTGGGGTTTCATGAGGAAAAGAGAGTTTTTTCCCCCCCACAATGGGGTCTGTGGCACCTCCTCTGTTTTTCCCAAGGACTACCAGAAGTTATCTTAGGGCCTCTCATGCATGCATTAAGAGTGTCAAGAAATAAAATGGAGAAAGATGATTTAGTCAACTGAGAAAAATTTAAAAAAAAAAATAAACTTTTTCCAGAAAACAAGATCCAAGAAGAGAAAAATATAAAGGCCTTTTAAATATATTTATTACTTGAATACCCAGTTTTAATTAAGCTGAGCACTCTTTAACAAAATCCCTTTAAATCCACTGTTACTCAACTTTAGCTATGTCAAGCAGTTAAGATTTTCAGCTTTTGAACTTTACAAAAAGTAACCTCACAGGTGAAACCAACAAGCCTTAATTATGTTACGATGTAACAGTGAGTGTACAAGGTGTTTCTAAGGGGTGACAAATGGCTTTTGAAACTGTCATTGCAAAATTATGACTGAGATGGTGAAAGAGATCTGACCCAAAGAACTCTATTTTTTTTCAAGCCTGCAAGCTGTCCTTGTCTGTCCCTGGGTGTAGGCTGAACCAACTTTGGGAGGCACCTGGTTTACAGTTTAGACTCTAAAACAAAGATGATGTCAGCCCTTTCTTAAAATATACTTTCCTCTTGCCTGGGTACCAGACCAAGAAACTAGCCACAAGATTAAAATCCATGGCTTAGGAGTCACACAGCTGGAGGCTACAAGATTTTGACCATCCCTTAACAGCTCTCAAGATTAGTGCTTAAGATATTTTGTAAACCCTGCCCTTGATCAATCAGCTGGCAGCTCCCTGATTGACAAAGTGACTTATCTGATTTTGTGGCCCTCACCCAGAAACTGACTTAGCATAAGAAGTCAGCAAACATTGTAAAATGGTGGAGACTAAAACAAATTATTGCCATATGGTTACAGGTCATGTTCCCAAGGACAAGAAGCAAGATGGAGGCCTTTAGCCAAGTTTGTTACTGATCATTTTGTTGGGCTGGCTTGAACAGCAGGCTTAGGGGGTCCTGGGCCTGCATCCTAACCTAAAGTAACTTTTCTTTTGACGGAACCATACAGAAAGACACACAAAGCACACCAGATTGTCTACAATTTAAGGCCAACCTCACAAATCCTTTCTCATTAATTAAAGCTTTTCAGAGAATATAAACAGTGATCCTTATTATTTCTTTTGCCAGTTTGCACAGGGATAGAGAAGCCAAAAACCCAACTAGTAAAAAAAACTTTTACCCTTTTGCCGGCATGTCAGGCTTCTGGGTTTTCTTTCTCCCCCAGCTCAACTCTAAGCCAAGCATTTTAAGGTTTGTGGAAATTAACTTCTCCCAGGTTGAATGAACATCATAAAAGGGCCATTGAAAACAGTGAAAAAAGGAAAAACACCATAGAAGAGTCTGGGGCTTCCAATTAGGGTTTCAAGAGGTATTGCCTCTCTTCTTGCTGGGAATGGTGTTTCCCCTATTTCTTCACTTTCTCTATCTTCTCTTTTCCCATTTGGCCTACTATAGGAGACCTATTGCTCACCTCAGAAATCCTCTGATGCTTGCAGAGCTGTCTGTTTTAGCCGCAGTTAGGGTTTGGCTTAGGAGCAACATAACATCCCTCCATGAGAGGTCAAATACCTGAGTTAAATTCTGGAAAACTTCTATATGCCCATCAGGGTCATTAGAAAATTGGCCTAAGTCTCCCTTTAATTGCCTGAGGTCCTGCAATGAGAAGGGTACTTGAATCCTAGTGGCATCACCTCAATTATGTATTTTCTGTAGGGGTAAGTGAGAAGGTGATGGAATGGAAAATTTTGGACATGGTGGAGGTAGAAGAACTGGTGGTGTGGTTGGAGGTGGCCCCGGTTAAGGAGGACTGGAAGGGCTGGTACACCCAATAGCTGCCTCGGATGGTTCCCCTGGAAGTTGCTTTTCTCATTTTGGGGAATTATTCTCTTTTGGCCTGCCTGATATGATTGCTAAAAGAGCTGGATTCATTTTGCAGTGCTTGCAAGGATCTAGTAAAAAGGCCATGCCCTTGTGCAAAAGAAAATGAGCTGCTTTTTCTTTAAAGTCTCAGGTTAAGAGGAGTCCCTGTACTTCAGAATGCACTCCAGGGGAGTACAGGCTGAATATGGTCCCATCTAGAAAGAGAAATGACAAAAAGGCTTCCCTTTAGTCTCCTTCCTTTTCGTGTGACACAGAGTGGAGAGGAAGACAGTGGGAGCATTCCCCTTGCTGTATTCCCTCCATGGTTCCTGGGTCCCGGCACCTTGTTGAATATGCCACCCATGGTTGCAGGCATGACTGCCAGCCATGGAAACAGAGGCATTTAGAGATTGGGGTTTGTCACACTCACCCAAGTGGCTCTAGTCCTCTGTCCTCTGCCTGTGATTTCCCTTTGACTTCCTAGACTTATGTGGCCTGTCTGGCTTCCGGAAAAATAGATCTCAAAAAAACAAAACAAAACAAAACAAAACACTACATAATAGTTGGGCAAGGCCTCTTTAATGGAGGGGCTAGACTGAAATCTATACCTGATATTATGGGCTGTACTAAAGCATTTACCCTTAGATAATGGTTCTGGTTAACTTCCAGACTTAAAATCCCCTTACTAATTAAGTACCATTCTAATTGGAGGCAGAATAGGTGCCTTAAAAATGTAGGGACTAAATGGCCATTTTCCTGCTGATGGGACAGTATCAAGAACTAACATTCGGTTCCAGGGGACATTTTAATCCTAATTGTTGAAGGTAGAGTTTTCCTGTTAACAGAAGCAACATAAAGCATGGTGTCTAGTAGAGGGATGCAAAAAGGGAGAGAATTGGTTAGCTAGGGTGTTTTGGTAAAGGACCAATGATGTGCCTCATGGAAAAGATCCCTATTACACTAGGTGGGGCTGCTGGCCTTGAAATGTCATGTGCTTTTCAGACCAAGGGCAGAGAGAGATGCTCCCTATGGTGAGGGTGACCCTCTGTTCCTTGAAAATCACAAAGATGCCCTCCCTTGAGCTATATCCCTGGTTACTATGACATTCCCTCATCTTACCAAACAAGATTACCTCCCTGAACTATAAAATTTCCCATACATTGCATACACAGAGAGGATGAAATAGATATGACGATCGAAGACAGGAAGGGAGGAAATTATGATAAAAGGTTGGAGATTCTGTTACCGACATCTCATCAGGGTAGTCAGAGGCTGGGGTCAGTCCAAATACCTTTGGATAACAATGGTGGTAACCCTGGCCGGAAATCCTCAGGTGCACCAGGACTTCTTCCAGCCCCACATGACAGCTAAGTCCTCCATGAAAGGAAGCTGGTTCAAACAGGGCCAGTATGCCCAGTGACCCATGGGTACTGGGGGATGCTCCATGTTCTCCCTAGCAATCCTGTCCCTCAAGTCTTGTAAGGCTGGCAGCCATGCTAATCATTTTTAAATGGCTGAAAGGGGCCCCATATTTGGTTTGATCTGGTTCTAAAATGGAAGCCAAGGGCCTCAGAATAAAAGGACAGAGTTGGAGTCTGCTCCTCTACTCACCATCTCGATGAATGTTGTATGTTGTTATCCCGGACGAGCCCCCATTATAAAGCAGCTATGTCTGGGGTGTAAACCCAGGGTTTGTCGTCACGCATCAGGAAAGTTTAGGACACAGACACACATGAGAAGTTTACGAGCAAAGGTTTAATAGGCAGAAGAGAAGAGAAAGAGAAACAGCTTTCTCTATAGAGATACAGGTCTCTGAGTGGAAAGGACTGGCTGGCTGCAAATGCACCAAAATATATAGCCCAGTTTGAAGGGGCAATGTCTGATTTATATAGGGCTCATAGATTGGTTTGATCAGGTATGATGTTTACATAGAGTGCAGAGAAGGCTGGTCACCCCACCTTAATCTTATTATGCAAATAGGCTTTCCGGTTGATTGGCACCATCTTGTCTGCTCTTTACAGTATACATGGCTGGCAGAGAAGGGAAGAATGGAGCTGCCATCTTGAAAATGTCTAGTCCTTAGTTCCTGCCAACATTCACCTGTGCAATCTCCCAGCTCGCTTGTCTACATCTGCAGCTCAACTTTCCAGGCTGCTATTTGTTAGTAAATGATTTGGGGCTGCTTTTCATGAAATAAAAAGCGTGACTGAGGATTCTCAAACCCTTGCTATCTCCCTAAGTGATTTCTTTTTAACTTCTATATCAAAGAGACTGGAGATTTTTTTATGAGAACTGCATATTGCCTCTTTGGTTTGGTTTGTTTTAAAGGCAGGTTATCTGTGGAAACCTTATTTATATATTAATTTGTTTCTCTTACTGGAGCTGAAAAACTTTTTAAGGAGGGATACTGTACTATTCAAATACCTTTCTAAAGTCCCCTAACTCCCAGCTTTAAACACAGCTGGTTTACCAAAAAAAAAAAAAAAAAAAAAAGGTAACTACTATAGAATTCAGAAATTTTATTAATGATGACTGTAATTTAAAAATCAAAGTTCTCGATGGATTTTTCTATAGGATTTCTAATTATAATGAAATTTAAGTGGAATAATCATAATGCTTTTACTGAGTTGCCATTTGTTGTATATTTATAAAACATACGTTTCAGAGGATTTAATCTTGATTTGTATTTTTTTCCTTTCTGCACATTGAGTTGTGGTTCAGTAGATGGAAGATCTAAAACATAACAATTACATATTTAAACTGATTTAAACTAGAGCCTAAAAAATAGGATAAAACAAGAATGGGATGTACCTCATTTTATAATATATATAAATTCAGAAACATTTATAAACATATTATATAAATAAAATATTATTTTAAAAATGGCTTCTTTTCAGATCTTAGGAATGAGTAATTCAGTTAAGGCAGTAATGTGGAAATTTTGAAATATGGAAATATTATTCAATTTTAAGGACAAATATGGTGTATTAGTCTGATCTCATGCTGGTAATAAAGACATATCCAAGACTGGGTAATTTATAAGGAGAAAGGTTTAATGAACTCACAAATCCACATGGCTGGGGAGGCCTCAGAATCATGGCGGAAAGCAGAGGAGGAGCAAAGTCATGTCTTACATGGCAGCAGGCAAGAGAGAGAGCATGTGCAGGGGAACTCCCCTTTATAAAACCATCAGCTCTCATAAGATTTATTCACTACCACAAGAATAGCATGGGAAAGACCCACCCTCATGATTCAATTACCTCCCACTGGGTCCCTCCTGTGACACATGGGAATTATGGGAGCTATAATTCAAGATCTGGGTAGAGACACAGCCAAACTGTGTCATTCTACCTCTTACCCCTCCCAAGTCTCATGTCCCTTTCACATTTCAAAACACAGTCATACCTTCCCAGCAGTCCCCAAAAGGCTTAACTCATTTCAGCATTAACTAAAAGGCCCACAGTCCAAAGTCTCATCTGAGACAAGGCATGTTCCTTCCTCCCATGAGCCTGTAAAATCAAAAGCAAGTTACTTACTTCCTAGACAGAGTGGGGTACAGGCATTGGGTATATATACCCATTCAAAATGGAAGAAATTGGCCAAAACAAAGGGGCTACAGGCTCCATGCAAGTCCAAAATCCAATAGAACAGTCATTGAAGTTCCAAAATGATCTCTCTTGACTCCATGTCTCACATCCAAGTCATGCTGATGCAAGAGGTGGGTTCCTATGTCTTGGGGCAACTCTGCCCCTGTGACTTTGCAGTGTAGAGCTCCAGCTCTTGTCATGAGCTCGCATTGAGTATCTGTGGCTTTTCCAGGCACACAGTGCAAGCCGTAGGTGTATCTACCATTCTGGATTTCTGGAGGACAGTGGCCTTCTTACAATTCCACTAGGCAGTGCCCCAGTGGGGACTCTGTGTGGGGCCTCCAATCCCACATTTCCCTTCCATAGTGCCATAGCAAAGGTTCTCCATGAGGGCCCTGACCCCATAGCAAACTTCTGCCTGGACAGTCAGGCATTTCCATACATCCTTTAAAATGTATATGGAAGTTTCCAAACCTCAGTTCTTGACTTCTGTGTACCCACAGTCCCAACACCATGTGTAAGTTGCCAAGGATCGGGGCTGCAGATGAAACAGCTGGGATGCAAGGCACCATGTCCTGAGTCTGCCTACAGCAAGTGGGCCCTGGGGTCTGCCCATTAAACCATTTTTTTCCTCCTAAGCCTCCAAGCCTGTGATGGAAAGGACTGCCATGATGGTCTCTGACATGCCCTGGAGACATTTTCCCCACTGTCTTGGTGATTAGTATTTGGCTTCTTGTTACTTATGCAAACTTCTTCAGATGGCTTGAATTTCTCCCCAGAAAATTGGTTTTTCTTTCCTACTGCATCATCAGGCTGAAAATTTTCCAAACTTTTATGCCCTGTCACCTCTTGAATACTTTGCTGCTTAGAAATTTCTTCCACCAGATACCCCAAATTATCTCTCTCAATTTGAAAGTTCCACAGATCTCTAAAGCAGGGACAAAATGCCCAGTCTTTTTGCATAGAAAGAGTGACCTAGTTATCCCAACAAGTTCCTCATCTACATCTGACATCACCTGAATGGGACTTCGTTGTCCATATCATGATCAGCATTTTGGTCAAAGCCATTCAACAAGTCTTTAGGAAGTTCCAAACTTTCCCACATCTTTCTGTCCTCTTCTGAGCCATCCAAACTGTTCCATTGTCTCCCAGTTACCCACTTCCAAAGTTGCTTCCACGTTTTGGGGTATCTTTACAGAAGTATCTCACTCAACCAGTAACAGTTTACTGTATTTGTCTGTTCTCACACTGCTATTAAAGACATACCCAAGACTGGTTAATTTATAAAGGAAAGAGGTTTAATGGATTCACAGTTGCACGTGGGTGGGGAGACCTCAAAATCATAGCAGAAGGCAAAAGAGGAGCAAAGTCATGTCTTATGTGTTGGCAGGCAAGAGAGAGGGCATAGGCAAGGAAACTCCCCTTTACAACACCATCAGATCTTGTGAGACTTATTCACGGTCATGAGAAGCATGGGAAAGACCCACCCTCATAATTCAGTTACCTCCCACTGGCTCCTTCCCATGACACGTGGGAATTATTTGGGCTACAATTTGAGATTTGGGTGGGAACACAGCCAAACCTTGTCATATGGAAATACAAAATAATTAATAATAATAAACATGACATCAGCTGTTTGATCTTGAATTCAATGAAATTATTGAAATTATTAGCTATTTATAGGCTGACATATTTATTAATATAATAAATAAATTGTAGTCTCCACACAATTTTACAAGGGGCTGAATGAGAGGTGAATTTCATTCTATCAATTCTTTTTTTTTTTTTTTTGAGACGGAGTCTCACTCTTTCGCCCAGGCCGGACTGCAGTGGCGCTATCTCGGCTCACTGCAAGCTCCACCTCCTGGGTTCACGCCATTCTCCTTCCTCAGCCTCCCGAGTAGCTGGGACTACAGGCACCCGCCACCGCGCCTGGCTAATTTTTTTCTTTTGTATTTTTAGTAGAGATGGGGTTTCACCATGTTAGCCAGGATGGTCTCGATCTCTTGACCTCGTGATCTACCCGCCTCAGCCTCCCAAAGTGCTGGGATTACAGGCATGATATTTTTCTTTTTATCATTTATTTATTTATTTACTTATTTTGATTCAGAGTGTCACTCTGTTGTTCAGGCTGGAGTGCAGTGGCAGAATCTTAGCTCATGGCAACCTCCACCTCCTGGGTTCAAGCAATTCTCCTTCCTCAGCCTCCCGCATAGCTGGGATTACAGATGCTATCACATCCAGCTAATTTTGTATTTTTAGTAGAGACGGGGTTTCCCTGTGTTGACCAGGCTGGTCTCAAAGTCCTGAGCTCAAGTGATCTGCCCACCTTGGCATCCAAAAGTGCTGGAATTATAGGTGTGAGCCAACGTGCCCAGCATTCCATCAATTCTGATTTGTATTTTGTATAGAAAATGACAAATTTCCAAGAACTCCAAAGCCTCAAACAGTTTTATATAAGTACTCATTATGCCACTGGATTCTTTCTTAAGTAGGATATGATTTGTATTCAAAATTTTTAAATAATTAGTTTGTAATTTTCACAGAACAATAAAGATTTTTTTTTTCCATTTTGTGTTTCACAAAACCCAAGAGTCTCCCATAGGAAATTGGAGTATTGAAGCTGAAGCTAGCAAGAGCAAAACAAATGGCCACTATTTAAATGAGAACTAGAAAAGTCTAAAAGAGAACTGAGTTCACATGATTTTCATCCTTTGTTACTACAGTCTCCATTTATACTTGAACTCAGTTTCATCTTTTTGAAGAGTTACTGCTTTTCTTCTAGTGAAGAGAAAATAAATACGTTTTTGATTGCTTGCTATTCCATATAACTGAAACCAAACTAACTTGTTTTTTAAGTTTTCAGATTCTTTTGATATATTATAGTTTAATATCATTATTTTATCGCAGAAGATGTTTATCTTTTGCCATCTGCCAAGTAACTTTCTACAGTTATTAAATCCATGAAGTTCATCTCTTGTTGATCATCATAGTTGAAGAAATCAAGGTGACAGTTTTTTTTTTTTTTTTTGAGGCCTATTATGGTTAAGCATGGTAACATTTTTAGAGAAATTGTTTAAAATCATTATGATAGTCTCAAACTTTTAAAGTCTCAAATCCATTAAAAATTAAAGTTTTTAAGAGGATTCCTTTAGAAAGAAAATGAGATGGAGTTAACAGTCTTATTTCTAATAATTTTTTTTTTAATTTGAAGCTTACGCTGAAAAATACATGTCACTTAATGTCCTTCCCCTGGCTATATAAATCCTACTAAGGGACCAAAGAAAATGCCACCTTCATTTAGGCTTTCCCGGACTTCTCTAATATATAGTGTTATTGCCTTTTACCGTAATTCCTGTCATTTATTGAGGGTCAGTGTTGTGTCCTTCTTGACCTATATTAACTATTTAATTTCACAGCAATTCTATAAGATAGGTTTTGCAATTTTTTTCCACAGGCAGTACACTGAGTCTTAAAGTGATTTGTGTAAAGTTACACAAATAGTATGTGCAGAAAGAGAATTGACCCCAATCCAATAAGACTTTAAAGTCTAGACACTTCCCCATCACACTTAGTTGTTTGTACCTCTCCTTTGTCAGTAAATCATGTTTCCCTTAAAACATTCTATTTACTTAAGATTTCCCGATAGGATAACAAATTATTGAAGCCACATGTCTTGTCATGATATAAGTCAAATGGTTTTGTGGGAAACACAATGGACCAGGGTCAGAAGACCTCCTACCAAGTTCTTGCTCAGTAATAACTTTAAAGAAATTCAGAAATTTCAAGTTTAAAATGAGGAAAGAATTGTATTCCAGGGT
This sequence comes from Homo sapiens, assembly GCF_000001405.40. Classification (NCBI taxonomy): domain Eukaryota; kingdom Metazoa; phylum Chordata; class Mammalia; order Primates; family Hominidae; genus Homo; species Homo sapiens. The sequence goes on from NC_000011.10 coordinate 49,748,613, forward strand.
TGTTGTTTAAATGTAAATATAAGGAAGGCTTTTTATAAGGTTAATTCAGTGTATGTTATTCTTATATGGAACTATACCAATTTTGGGTCCTATTCACAAAAAAGCTGACTAATACATATTGTTAGAATGAATGAATAATATGAGAGTTAGAGAAATACACAAAATGTACAATTTTTATTCACTTTTCTCCTATTGCCATAATCTCTTCAATGCATATTTGCAATTTCAGTTTATTTATTCATGTGCTCTACCTAATATTTATGCATTGCTTGCTCTTCACATTTTTGTTTCTGTTAAGACCTTCTTTTTCCTTTATTTCATGCTTCTTTTCTCTCTCTTCCCTACCTCATAGCCTTCTTTGTTGGCAATCAAACAGCCAAAAATTGCATGCTGTCTATTTCATGCCTAGCAAAAGATGCTTCTATTCTTGTCTAAGACTTGGCTGGCTCATGTCAAAATTCTCATACCATCTCCTCTCCAGTCTTTCATATTGAAATCTCAAGCATTTCTCCAGAAATTCCCTGTGTACCCAAACCACTTCATTAAAGGCTTATTCATTTTCTTCATTAAATACATGTATCTATTTCTCTATAATAAGACTAGTGTTTAGTTTTGTTTCCTCCCACCCCACCTTCCATCCTCATGGAAATATTAAGTAATATTTAATAAAGACTGAAAATTTACTGCAAAGAAAGAGCTGTGATTTCAGCTCTATAGGCAATCTGCTGAGAGCCTCATAGTACTAAAAGCAGATTATCTGATAATGCTTGCCATACTGATCATTTCATCTACCGAGGTAGATGAAAGGTAGATAAAATAAACAGGTAAAAAATATTTACTCAGGAATTATTTCATATTAATCGAGAAAAAATATGCTCATATAAATATAGAAAGGTGATGAAAATCTTGGAAACATATGGCTGACATTATAAAAGAAAGAAAGGGAAGGAGACTGGTTGCAGGTAGATTTCTCACCAGCTTTTTTAATGTGTGTGTTTTTCTTACATTTATTTATTACTCTAAATTTCTCTTTTGAAATTTGCTAATTATTCATTTTTCTACTAGCATTGCCATTTTTTATTAATTATTAATATAATATTCATATCTAACTTAAAGACTTAAGCTCTTTTATGGTATGTCTATTTAAAATTTTCCCAATTTAAAAAATTGTATTGTTTATTTTCTTGTTGTTGAGTACTAAGATTACTTTCTATATTCTGGATACAAGTCAGATCTGTGATTACCTGATACTTCCTCCCAGTTTGTCATTTTTAAGAGAGGAAAATGTTACATTTTAATCTATTTATTCACTTTGCACTCATGACCCCTTTTATTACATTTATATTTAGAGTCCTTCTCAGTTAAATATTTATACAAAATTTTTCCTCACATTTTATATTTTATTTACAATTTCCATAGTATTTCTTATCCTATAACTGACATCTAAATTTATATACAACAAAATTCACTTTTTGAAAAAATTCTCTCTTTATTGCTTTTGACAAATATACACATTTTTATCATCAAAACTAGGTACAGAAAAGTTTCATCAACCGCCTCCCCCCGCCAAATTGCCTAAAAGTAATTTGTGCCATTCTCTTTTATGTGCTGCAATTGCTGATCTGATTTTTATTCTTATAGTTTTTTCTTTTCCAGAAAGCCCTAAATGGAATCATACAGTATGAAACCTTTTTAGTCTAATTTCTTTCTCTTAGCATAATACATTTGGAATTTATCCAAGCCATTGCATGAACAACTAGTTTGTTTCTCTTTATTGATGATGAGTATTCCATTGTACTGATGAACTACACTTGGTTAATTCATTCATGTTGGAAAAGACAGTCTCATGAGTACAGTCTTTCTCCTACTTAGCCACCTAATGGATTTTGGGCCTGGAATACTTTCTTCCCAAGATAAAGAGTGCACACCACCTGTGCAGGGCCTATTGCCTTGTGTGAGAATATCTTTCTCCATTGCCAGCCTAGTATATGTCCCTTTGTTCTGTTTAAGCAAGTGTATCACTTGGCACTTGGCCAACTCCACTGTGGGGAGGGAATAGGGACCTTCTGCGGCACTCAAGGAGTGTGCATGGGCAATTACCCTGCATTCATTGCTAGGAGAGACCCCCTGGCCATGGGGTATTGAAAAATACTCTCAGAATGAATTTTTCTCTGTTTCCTCTCTATGTAAATAAAGAGTTGTTCCATCCAGTGCTTGACGGTGTTGTGATTCCCATGATAACTGCAATACCAAAATGCAATGGGCAGAAATATTTGGAGTCCTCTCCAGGGATTGGCAACTGGTGCATGGTGTCCTGCTTAATAATTCACCTATCGAAGAACATCTGTGCTTTTTTGCTTTTTCCAAATTTGGCAATTTTATATACCTGGAGTAAATAAACTTTGTGTAGATTTTCTGTGAACATAAATTGCTATTTCTCTTGGATGATTACAATAAGATTGCTGAGTCATTTGGTATATTTTACTTTCCTTCTCTTTCTTTCCTTCTTTCTTTCTTTCTTCTTCTTTTTTTTTTCTTCCACAGAGTCTCTCTGTCACCTAGGCTAAAGTGCAGCATCAGCATATTGGCTCATTGCAATCTCTGCTTCCAGGGCTTAAGTGATCCTCTTACCTCAGCCTCCCAAGTTCCAAGTAGCTGAGACTACAGGCATGTGCCACTATGCCCAGCTAATTTTCATATTTTTTTTGTAGAAACAGGGTTTTGCCATGTTGCCCAGGCTGATCTCAAATTCCTGTGCCCAAGCCATACATCCATACATCTGCTTTGGCCTCCCAAAGTGCTGGAATTACAGTGATGAGCCACTGGCCCAGGCTGATATGTTATATTTCTTAATGATAAACTGCCTTAATAATAAACTGCTTAATGAAAAAGATAAATATTTCTCTTCCCCAAATATCTATACCATTTCGTATTCTCACCAGTAATGTATGAGAGTTGCCCTTGCTTCACATCTTTGCCAGCATTTAGTTTCCTTTTTTTCACTTTAGCCTTTCTAATACTTGTGTGAAATTATCTAATTGTTTTTAATTTGCATTCTTCTAATGTCTAATGATGGAAATATTTTCATGTGCTAATTTACCAGGGTAATTAGCATATTATTCACCTCAAACACTTGTCAAAATCATCTCTTCTTGCTACTTTGAAGTATGTAATACCTTATTCTTGGCTATAGTCACACTACTGTGCAATAAAACACCAGAACTCATTCCTCCTATCTAACTGTAATTTTGTTCCATTTGACTGACCTCTCCGCTCCCCTCTTCCCTGCTACTGTTTCCAGCATCTGGTAACCACTATCCTACTCTCTACTTCAATGAGCTCAACTTATTAAGATTCCAATTATGATTGCTATCATGCATTATTAGGCCTTAGGTGCTTGGCTTCTTTAACTTAACATAATGTCTTCCAGTTTCATCCATGCTATCACAAATAACACAATTTCATTCTTTTTTTATGGATGAATAGTATTCCATTGTGTTTGTATACCACATTTTTTATCTGTGTTTAGGGAATCCCAAATCATGCCCATCTATGTTGGTGAACTTAATCAATAAACATTTGTGTTCTGACTGCTCCACCAATGGGCCACTCTCCCTTTTGTGTCCTGCTCCTTGGGGCTTCCCTGTTGTCAGAGACAGAACAATATTGAAGTTAGGCCAATTAATCATCTACAATGGCTTCTAAATTTTCAACTGGAAGAAAGAGTCACATGCCTCTTACTTTAAATGAAAGCTAGAAATGATTAAGCTTAATGAGGAAGGTGTGTCAAAAGCCCAGATACACTAACCAGCCTAGGCCTCTTGTGCCACTTAGTCAAGTTGTGAATGCAAATAAAAAATTTTTGAAGAAAATTTTAAAAATGCTACTCCAGTGAACACATAAATTATAAGAATCTGATACAGCCTTATTGCAGATACAGAGAAAGTTTTAGTGGTCTGGATCAAACCAGCCACCACATTCACTTAAGCCAAAGTCTAATTAATAGCAAGGCCTTGAATCTTTTCAACTGGCTCAAGGCTGAGAATGGTGAGAAAGCTTCAGAAGGAAAGATTGCAGCTAACAGAGTTTGGTTAATGGAGTGTAAGGAAAGTAGCCATCTCTATAACCTAAAAGTGCAAGGTAAAGTAGCAAGTACTATTGCAGAGGTTGCAGCAAGTCATCCAGATATAAGATAATTGATAAAGGTGGTTACACTAAACAATACAGTTTCAACGTAGACAAAGCAGACTTATATTGGAAGAAGATGCTATCTAAGACTTTCATGCTAGAGAGGAGAGGTGAATTCCTGCTTCAAGGCTTCAAAGGACAGGCTGACTCTCTGTTAGAGATAATGCAGCTGGTGACCTTAAGTTGAAGCCAGTGTTCTTTTATTGTTCCAAAAACCCCAAGGCCCTTAAGAGCTATGCTAAATGTACTCTGCCTGTGCTCAAAAATGGAATAGCAAAGCCTGGATGACAGCATATCTGTTTATAGAATGCTTTACTGAATATTTTAAGCCCACTGTTAAGAACTACTCTTAAGAAGAAAAGCTTCCTTTCAAAATATTACTGCTTTATGACAATGCACCCAAAAGCTCTGATGAAAAGTTACGAGGAGATTAATGTTGTTTTCATGCCTGCTAAGACAACATCTATCCTGAAGCTCATGGATCAGGGAGAAATTTTGGATTTCAATTCTTATTACTTCAGAAATATATTTCATAATGCTATAGCTGCCACAGATTGTGATTCTTCAGATTAATCTATGCAAAGTAAATTGAAAATCTCTTGGAAAGGATTCAACATTTTAATTACTATTAAAAATATTAGTGATTCATGGGAGTGGGTCAGAATATCAATATTAACAGGAATTTGGAAAAAGTTGATTCCAAGCCTTATGGATGATTTTGAGGGGTTCAAGACTTCAAGTAGAGGAAGTAACTACAGATGTAGTAGAAGAGTAAGAGAACCAGAGTTAGAAGGTGAGCCTGACAATGTGAATTTATACAATCTCATGGTAAAACTTGAGTGGATGAGAAGTTGCTTCTAATAGATAAGCAAAGAATGTGCTTTTTTGAAATGGAATCTGCTACAGCAAAGATGCTGTAAGCCTTGATGAAATGACAATGATTTAGACAATTACCTAAATCTAGTTGATAAAGCAGCAGCAGGGTTTTAGGGTATTGACTCCAATTTTAAAAGCAGTTCTACTGTGGGTACAATGTTATCCAACAGCATTATATGCTACCAAGAAATCTTTCATGAAAAAAAAAAACAGTCAATTCATGTGGCAAACTTCATTGTTATTTTAAGAAATTGCCACAGCCACCCAAACATTCAGCAGCCACCGCCCTGATCAATCAGTAGCCATCAGTATCAAGACAAGATCCTCTATCAGCAAAAATATTATGCCTTGCTGAAGGCACAGATATTCATTAGCATGTTTTAGCAAAAATGTATTTTAAAATTAAAGTATGTCCATTTTTTATACCTAATGTTATAGCACACTTCATAAACTACAGTGTGGTATTATAACTTTTATATGCACTGGAAAAGCAAAAAATTGTGTGAATCACTTTACTCTGATATTTGCTTTATTGTAATGGTCTGAAATCAAAACAGCAATATCTCCCATGTATGCCTATATATTCTTAATATTAACCCCTTTTCAGGTGCATAGTTTGCAAATATATTCTCCCATTCTGCAGTTTGTCTCTTCACTCTTGATTTTTTCCTTTGCTGTGCAGAAGCTTTTTAGTTTGATATAATTCTCTTATTTGTTTACTTTTTCTTTTGTTGCTTCTGCTTTTCAGGTTTTATTGAAAAAACTTTTGTTCAGAGCCATGTCATAAAGCATTTTTTCCTGTGTTTTCTTCTAGTATCTCATAGTTTCAGGTCTTACATTTAAGTCTTTAATCCAATTTGAGTTGATTTTTGTAAGTGGTAAGAGATACCGTTATAGTGTCATTCTTCAACATGTGAGTATCCAGTTTTATCATCACCCTTTATTAAGGAGACTGTCCCTTCCCCAATGTGTGTTCTGATACTTTGTCAAAAAGCAGTTGGCTGGAAATGCATGGATTTATTTCTGGGTTCTCTATTCTGTTCCATTGATCTATATGTCTGTTTTTTATGCAAATACCATGCAAGCATGAATTTAAAAGGATTCCTTGTACTTCCTTTTTTTTAAAATCATCTCAGAAAGATTGGTATTATTTCTTCTTTAAAAGCTTGATAGAATTATTTGGCAGTGAATATATCTAGTGCTGAACTTTCCTTTCTGAATCAATATCATTACTCATTATTGGTCTGTTCAGGTGTTCAGTTTTTCTGTGGCTTCATTATTCAATCTTGGTAGGTTGTACATATCCATAAATTTATCCATTTCTTCTAGGTTTTCTAATTTGTTAGGGGTATAGTTGTTTATAAGAGTCTGTAATGATCCTTTGTATTTCTGTGGTATATTTATTTTTAGTCTATATTCTGTTTATGCTCTGATCTTTATTATTTCTTCATTCTGTTACTAGTTTGGGGTTTATTTTGTTCTCATTTTTCTAGGTTTTAGAAATGCAACTTTTGCTTATTTCTTTGGAATCTTTCTACATTTTTGATATAAGTGTTTTTGCTATAAACTTTCCTATTATAACTTCTTTTTCAGCATCCCATAGGATTTGGTATGTTGGGTTTCCATTTTCATTTGTATCAATATTCTTCAAAAATGTTTCTTCACAATTTCTTCATTACTCATTAGTTGCCCAGGAGCATGTTGTTTAATTTTCATTTATTTGTACATTTTCCAAGGTTCCTCATGTTATTGATTCCTAGTTTTATTATATTTTGGTTAGAAAAGTTATCTGATATAATTTTAACATTTTTAAATGTGATAAGACTATTTTTTTTTACTTCACATATGGTCTATCCTAGAGAATGTTCCATGTGCAGATGAGAAAAATACATATTCTGAGGCTGTTACATGAATATTTCTGTAAACATTTATTAGGTTTATTTGGTCTACAGTGTGGCTTAACTCTGTAAAGAAACTGATGTTTCACTATATCTGGATGATCTGTCTATTGCCAAAAGTGGGGTGTTGAAACCCACCACTATTATTGTACTGCAGTGCAATCTCTTTCTTTAAGTCTATTAATGTTTTCTTTATATATTTAGGCACTCCTATGTTGAGTGCATGTATATTTATACTTGTTATATCCTGTTGCTCTATTGACCCTTTTATCATTGTGAATGTCTTTATCTTTTTACAGTTTTTGGCTTAAGCTCTATTTTGCCTAATGTAAGTATAGCTACTCCTGCTTTATTTTAGTTTCCATTTGTGTGGAATATCTTTTTCATTCCTTACTTCACTTTCAGTCTTCATGTGTCTTTATAGATGAAATGAGTTTCTTGTATGCAGCATACAGTTGGGTCTTTTTTATTTTTAATTCATTCAGCCTTTCTGTTTTATTTTGATTGAAGAATTTCATTTACATTTAAGGTAAATGATAGGTAAGGGGTTACTACTGTCATTTTGTTACTTGTTTTCCAGTTGATTTGTTGATCCTTTTTTCATTTCTTCTTTTACATTTTTTCTTTGTGATTAAGTGATTTTTTCTAGTAATATGCTTTGATTCCTTGTTTTTTATTCAATACCTCACAATTGCTGTGTTTTCCCTCTCTAAATTCCCAGAGATGCTCTCTGTCACTGCCAGGGTGAGGAAGGGGTGGTGTCAGTGATTCAGGTCTGTTTATTAAAATCTCTTATTCTAGTTTCTATTTGTGTGAAATATATTTTTCATCCCTTCCTTGCAGTGGGAGAGGGAAGATCTTTGTAGCTTCCTATCTGCCATCTTCTTCTGCCTCCCTCACAATTTATATATTTTTAAATATTGCCTATCTCTTAATAATAATAGCTAATATATAAAAATATAAAGGTCTTGAAGGAGAAATAATTGCAACCTCACCTTAAATTATCATGAATTTATCTTTTAGAAGGCTCACTTTAATAAAATGTAACATTTAAATGATTACTAATTTGCATCACTTCTTTGTATTATAATTTTTAGATGATTGAATTTATCTTATTACATTGTGTTAGTGCCTTGTTTCCTACATCTTAATATGCTTCTTCCTTGGTGATTAATTTTATATTTCATTACTCTGTGCATTTATGATAATATGATATCTTCTGAAACATGTAGCTTTCATTAGTCTCACAAAAATTTCCAGGAATACCTTAACAATGCTTAATAATGTTAATTTGTTCCTCTCTGTCCATCTCATTTTGTTTCTCACTAAAAATGTAGGTTTTTCTATTAGTTGAAAGATAGTTAGATTTACAAGTTTCTGTGTGATATAATGGAA